>NC_000020.11:6733001-6884516 GCF_000001405.40 Homo sapiens
GAAGGGGATGGGCAATGGGGTGTCAGCACAGACATGTATATTCTATTTCTGGTCTTGGCAAATGTTCATTCAAACAACTAATATGTCAAGGAAATTATGTGGGAACTGACCAAACTGAATAGAGACCTGAGCGTTTCCTTTTGAGTATGTGGCTGGATCAAAACACATCTCGAGGTACTGTTAACCCGACGATTCCTCATCTATGTAATCATATTTTTATCCTGACACATAAGTAAATGACTTGGAGATTGGTCCTAGTTTAAGACGTAAGCAATAAAAACACACTTAAAATTTGCACTGGAAATTGAAAATCCCTTTCATGTATACACATGCAACATGCTATTCACCCCCTGCTGCCTTCTGCATCTTTCTGGTGCCATATTCTTTGTGCCTCCTAGACAGAAGCTGTGGAACTGATGCTAGAAGAAAGAGAGAAATTTAAATGAAGAAATGATGCTGTCATTATTTTTAATGGTTGATTTGTTTTTCTTGTTTACCTAGAAAACAGGTGGAGAATAGAACAAAGAGATTTTTGGCCTGAGCCAGGACTGAGAAACCAAGTCTAGTTAGTGAGTCAAAAAAAGAAATGATATCCCCTCTCTTATTATGCAAAATCTCATAAATGCATCACCTGTATGAAAACTCCTTGGACAAGTCTTAAATCTTTTCTTTACTTAAATGCTAATAAATTTGGTTGCTAAAATAGAGGGTGTAGGTTACCTTTCAGGCTAAAGCAGGGATTATTTGTTTACATAGGATCAAAAATAATAATATGGCATATATAAATATTTATAGTAGGTCCTGGAAAAGTACAGATGTATACAATTGTGCCAAAGAGAAAAACATTTTCTTTACAGCATTATATTCATCAGCCCTTGCCACAATAAAGCTGCATAACAAATCACCCCAAATCTTAGGGGCTTACAACAACAAGCCTTTATGTTTCTCACTCATGGGTCTGAAGGGCAGCTGGGATTATTCTGCTTCAGATGGGGAGTTGACTAGGGTTGGCTCTAGGCTTGAGGTTGGGTTCAAATCTGTTCCATGATCACATTTCAGGGCTCAAACTGATGAGGTTCTTGCTACCTGTGTTATACTCTTCGTATTGTGATCACAAGAGTGGAAGGGGTGAGTGAAACAGCCTTTTCTGGGACTGTCCCACAGTCATTTCTACCCACATTTCACTAATTAAAGTTAGTCACATGGCCAACCCCACCATCAATGGGTAGAAAAATTGAGTTTGCTTCTAGGAAAACAAACTGCAAAGTTACATGGCAAAAGGTTCACACCTTTTGTGAAAATAGGAAGTGCCAAGGAATTGAGAAAATAAACCAACTTACCAAAAATATTAAGAGGCTCTATTTAAAACATTGAATAGGGAAGTGGTATCATGAGGTAAATAATAATAATAATAGTAGTTAGTATTAAAAATCAGGCTTTGGAGCCAGGGTAATCTGACTTTGAATATTGGCATCATTCCTTTCTGACCATGTGGCTTCAACAACAGGCAGACCTTGCAAATGCTAGAACTGGAAAAGCATTCATCAGCAAGACTTTGTGGATATCTATCCCTGTGCTCTTCCACGAACAGGAATCAGTTACTCTTTGCTTGTATGTTTCTCCACTTGGGCAGTTCAGGTTTCTTAAAGATATTATCTAATCAACCCAGCTAACGTTGTGCCAGTTGGGGCATATAATTTTGCAACAGGATGCCACTGTCCAGTCTGTGACCAAGGCATGTGCGTACTTCAGGTTCAATCAGCTGTGGTGGTAAGGGCCGAGGGGGAGTCATACGTAATAAGATTTCCTTGACAGACATGGCTGGTTGTCTACCAAAGCATTATGCTCTTAGAGGAAAGCTGCTGTTAGGCTGGGGTGTCCTTTCCTACATTTCCCGGAGCCTCTTGAAACTAGGTTGGATCATGTGACTAAGTTTCCCCAATAGAATGGAAGCAGAGATTATATGTACCACTTCCAAACAAAGGCATCAAGAAGCTGATGCCTTTTCTACTCTCTACTTTCCCATTCAGTACTTACATGGTGAGAACTCCAAGACCCCAGAGGAGGGCAGAGCCACAACAGGGAAAGAGGTTGGGTAACTGATTGATCATGTGGAAGGCTTCCTATGAATGAGACACAAACATTTGAACTCAACTTTTTTTTTTAATATCAGTCAATAAAGACTGTCCATTTCACAGGGTTGGAACAGAGCAATTGCCCTTAAAAAGGGCTGATGGCATAGTAGTCATTGGGATTAGGGTGTGGAATGAAGCAAAACATAAAAGGCTAATCAGCAGAGCAAAGACTTCAGCTGCAGAGGTCTGAACATGCCCCGCTGGGAGGGCCTCCCTGATGCCACACTCAGCTGAGAAGGTTGAATTCAATAGGAAGTCAACTGTAACTGCCAAGGAGTGTGGCCTTCATAAGGGATGAGCTCCAAATCCACACGGTTGTCCACATTTCCACTGTCACTCATCAGGGAGAGCTTTCACTTAACACAAGGATGTGAGGATTTCCTTTGTAAATCGGTTGTTCCTCTGGATATGGTTTCTGAAATATCTGTCTTAAGGTCTAAGCTGCTCTCTCTTTCCATGAGAAGCTCTGCTCACCCAACTCAACCAGTTTTAACCAAATTTTAAAAGCCATTGACTCTCTAGGGAAGGCTGATTTCTCTCTTGGCCTCCATCTATAGCCAGCACTGGCACCAGCTATACTTACTTAAGCTCACTGATGAGGAGGAGGAGCAGGGAGCTGTTCTCTCATTAATAACCATACCTTGACCCCAGTTTCAAGCTCAGGGCTTTGGGGGGTGATGGTAGCCTGGGCCAGAGGACACGGCTAAAGGAAGTCCATCTTTGTCTGCAGGGTATTCCAAGGCCAAATAGAAGGGAGGAAGAAGAAAGCTCAATCTCTCTTTCTCTCCCTCCCTCTGTCTGTCTCTCTCACTCCCTTCCTCCTCTCTCTCATTTTCCTGACACAAATCCAGTTATCCAATTGCTGCCTTCCTCCAGCTGGCGCGCTACCCAGGCAGTTGAATTTACTCCATGCTCCAACACTTTCTCTATGAGCTGTGCTACAACTGTTTCTGCTTCTCTGGTTAAAGACGGTTCTGTCTTCCCTTGCCTGGATCTAAGCTGCTTGCCTCTCATTAACAGAGTCCAACCTCAGCCTGTGTGTTGCCACCACCCACTTTCCTAGTTCCTTCCCTTTCCTCTGACAGACACACCTTTATACTGTAGGGCTGACTTCCTTTTGGACCCCAAGAATCTGCTAGCTAGTTGCTCCCAGCCATGGGAATAAAAGCAGAGCTCCCTTTTGGAACTCCATGGTCATCGTCATAAACAAGAACCTCCCAGACATCAGTGGTGGAATGGGGGCCTGTTCAGCTCTTGGAAACAAAGGCTTTATTCTGAATCTTTTCCCGACTGATAACCAGTCTGTCATTCTAAGTGGGAAGGGTGGGGGTGGCAGGGCATTGAAGAGAGGGGAGGAGAGTACAGAGCAGAAAGCTTATTAACCTTTCCAAGAGGCTTGTGATTCAAGCTTGTGGAGCTTAACATTTTTTTTCTCTCCCAATTATTTTAATGATGCTGCAGAAAGTCCTAACTTCTGTGCTGAGACTGTGTTGCTGCTACGGTCTGGGCTGATCACATGGTAACATTCCGACCCAGGCTTGGTCACCCCGTAAGAAAAATCAGCTTGGGAAAACCACTCCTCCTTCTGCATGCATCTCAGTCTCTCTCTCTCTTAAGGAAAAAAAAAAGTCTCCTTTTTAAGAGCTTTGAAGCTTAAGTCTTAGATGTGAGCTTTGCTTCAGAGTTTATTAGTTATTATTTTATCCCCATTCACCACTCCCCTTGAAAAAGCTTATGTTCACCCAGAATGGCAATTATTTGACTGTAATTCAAACCATTTTGTGTCATGTAGATCCAGGCGCATTGCTTGATTTCAATAATTAAGGGAAGGTACCAAATATTTTTGTCGCTAAAGGAACTTTAGTCACATAAGCCAGTTTATCAATCATTTTTTTCTTTATTAATCTTAATGTATCCCTCCCTTATCTCATTTTGAGCAAGAAAATTAAGCCAATAACATAAACTTAAAAGCTAACTACTGTAGTCTGTACTTTGAACCCAGATACAAAAGTAAACATTCCTTCCTATTAGGTTTAAGATCAAGACGTATTAATTTAGGAGGTTAACTAATACTTAGCAGGAGGCTGATTGGGGGATGGAGATGTGGGAGGAAGAAGGCAGGAGGAAACAGAGGAGAAAGTGATTTTTCACTTCTGTGCATGCTTGTGCAATCTTATCTGAAGGCACTGATACATTTTTAGTAACCCACCATGAACAGCATCAGAGTTGGGATAACTGGAAAGATGGAGAAATCTTTCTGCAACCCCAGCCCCCCTTTCCATTTAACAAGAGCAACTAGACCCTGATGAGATTGGAGAGAAATCCATTCTTGCCTGGATTGTCACCTACACATATCTTAAAGTTTTAACCATTCGTGTACATATCATCTACCGATGGGTAATTGCACTTATTGTAAGTACAGCTTGGTGAATTGTCAGAAATTGAACACCCCTGTGTAACAAGCACAGGGAACATCAATTGCATCCCTCGAAACCCCTCTCATGCCCACTTCTAGTCATTACCTCCCCAAGGGTAATTACTGTACTACACCTGATATTATAAATTAATCTGCTTTTGAATATATCATCTGTTTTAATGTGGTTTTGGCCATATAAATGGAATCATAGCATATATACTTTTGTGTCTGGCTTCTTTCACTCAGTGTTTGAGAAAGTCACCATTGTTTTTGTGTGTAGTTGTAGGTAGTTCATTCTCTTTGCTATTAATATTCCATTATACACCAAAAAATTGTATATCCATTCTGCTGTTGGTGGACATTAGGGCAACTTCCAGTTGGACTACTATGAATAGTGCTGTTATGAACATTTTGGTACATATCTTTTGGTAAACACGTGTACACATCTTTGCTGGGCTTAATTCTAGGAAAGAAATTGCTGGATTTATGGTATGCATGTGAATTATTTTAGTAAAACTTGCCAGATAATTTTCCAAAGTGGCCATAACCAATGTATACTCCTGCAAGCAATGTCTGAGAGTTCCAGTTGCTCCACATCCTTGCCAGTACTTCATATTTTCAGTGTCTATTTTTGCTCTTCTGGAGGGCACGTGGTGACAATTGCATTGTAATTTTACTTTGCACACCTCACACACATTAGTTTTCATTTCTCTGCTTTAGTTAATTTCCAATCATCCCCTGACCTAACAGGAGCCAATCTGACCATCAAGTCATCCCTTTACAAAGACTCTATCTTTACTGAGATTCTCGTAACACCTCCTCCACCTACCTACATGGACTTTTCGTTTTGTTGAGCTCTTGTTGAGCTTAGATATGGAGCCACTCCATTTATACTCAATTAGCTGCTGGGTAGTGTCCATGGGCTACACGTTTTTCCTGTGTTGTTCTGTCTTCCCAACTGGAGATAGGTTTCCTTGGCTCTGCAGAGTCCAGCTCTGCAGGCCCTGTTCACATACACAAACCCACTGGGCTAAATTCAGATGGGCATAGGCTATGCCCCTATTGGACTGGACTTTGTATTTTTCACCCAATCATTCTGATGCCCGATATCTTTAGCCTAGATGCTTGATATTGATTAAAACCACTCAAGAAGTTAAGTAGTGTGGGAAGTCAAGTAATGCGGAAAAAAATAAAAGCACAGTTCTTACAGTTGGAGCTGGGGTTGAATTTCATACTTACCAGTTTGGTTCTTTCTGATCTTAAGAAGTTACTTTTTGATCCTGAGCTTCAATTTCTACATATACAGAAAGAAAATAGGGTTGTAATGAGGATTCGAGAAGATAACAGCAAAGTGTCTGGCACATTGTAGGTGCTGCAAAATTTATTTCTTTATGCCCTTCTTCTTTGCAGAGGTCTTAGCCTCTCAGGTTTATAAGAGGATAAAACTCAAAATGATTTGTAGATCTTTAGTTTGGTTTGGCAATCAACAATTCTTCCTTGTCAGCCTCTCTGAAATCAAGCAGTACACTAAATGAGGTGGTGACTTTTGAAATAAATTTAATAACTTCTTCAAATATTTTTTTGAAATAAAATTAAGGAGAATATCACTTCTGAAGTTTAATTAGGGCCCTTAATGGCAAAACTTTCTTCAAGGCAAAGCTAGTTAACAGCTTTTATATCATTTCCATCTTGCTATCTGCTTGGCCCACTATGACAAGGAGATACCTTAAGTCCTGCTCATGCAAGTGGCATCCTTCTCTGCTCTTAAGTATGCGATTAAGATTCAGACATCTCTGCTTTTAGGAGGGTGTTTGGAGAAGTAAATGAGGGGAGAGATTTGCATAAGAAATTTCCTGCTCTTCCCTGGAGGATGTTGGCAGCCTTTTTCAATGGGCAGGCAAGCTCTGGAGTCACATACTGACTGCCCCTTAAAATGACTTAAGGCTTGGAAGGGTGGCCTCTATTTTTCTTCTTTTTAAACATTGCTGTGCTGAGCCAATGTGGGTTGGTGTATCCAAAACCAATTTGGCAGGTCATTAGTTTGTTTCCTCTGATAGTGCTACACTGCAGGCAGGATTACAAAACACATTCCAGCTGGCTGGACTTTCTGATATCTCGAAATGGTTCCATGGCCTTTAGTTAGATTTAGTGGTCAAGATTCTGGTAGATTTCCCTTTCTCTTTCCTTTTAATTTACAGCCAATTTCAGTGGAACCACACCATAATACAGATCAATGTATTATATTTATATTTTAAATACCATAGGTCAAACCTTGAAGTAGAAATCTTGGATATTAATTCTTCATGCATATTTTTTATAAAGTAATTTTCATATAGATGCTTGTTCTTTGCCCTAGTAGAAGAAGAATGAATGGAAATGTGAGAGTGAGAGACATGGGAAATACATTTAATAACTTTTCCAAGGCTCTGTCATTTAATTTTGTACTAAGAGAAAGGTGTTATTATCTTCATTTTAAGAAATGAAAAAAAAGGCTAAAAGGGATTTCATATATTATTCAAGGTGACATAGCTCTGTGAAGTTGGAATTAGATTCTTAGGTTTGTCTAGATCTCTTCCTTTTCTCCTCTTCTCTTCCACATAGAATCCATGCAACAGTTCTACTCTCCCCCTCCACCTAGAATTCATGTAACCTCAATACAAATTATTCTGTATTAGAGTTAGACATTACCTAAATGGTCTCAGGTCCTACCAAGCACAGGAATTCCCTCTATGAGGTCCATGACAGCTCATCAAACCTCTGGTTACCTACAATAATGATTAACTCATTCCTTCACAGGATGACCGATAGCCATTTTGCATGTCTTTTCCTGTTAGACAAAATTCGCTTTTTTGGTATTTCCATCCAGGGGTGCACAAGAGCAGATTCACACCTACTGTTACCAACTCTCAAGCCGATTGTGCACAACTCTTCCCAACTCCACACTTAGGGATGCCAATTTGGTGGCTTGAAATCAGCTATGGTGGGTGTGTTTACATCACAGGAATTACTAAAAGCTATAGATTAGGGCTTCTCCCTCCACAAGTACTACCCACTCTGTTATACTGAGAACCACTTGTTAAACATTTATCAGCACATCATTGCTCCCACCCTTTGGGAGTGATTCTGCCCTTTGGCCTTCCACAGAAGAAATCCAAATCTTCTTCCGCAGCAGCCCCTCAGAAATTTCAGAACAGCTCTTTGCCCACTCTGTCCTTCTATGATAGCTTCAAAAAAACCCAAGTTTGAGTTTCAGGTTGGTCTCTTAGTTGCTGTCGAACTGTGAACAAACAATTTAATCTCTCTAAACTTTAATTTCTCTCTATATAAAATAGAGATGGTAAAAACAATATATTACCTCTGGTGTGGATGTGAACCTTCAATGAGACAGTGGGCATAAAATATACTGTCTAACCTACAGAAAGCTCTCAATTAACTTTATTATTAGAATGATTATTGCTATTGATCATAACACTGAAACACTTAGAGTTATCCAGGACTTCCAGCAAACGCATTATACTTGTCAGGGTCTTGGCAGGAGCAGAGACTTGGTTACAAGGGAGTTGTAACACAAGGGACTTGGTTACAGAGAGTTTAATGCCCAGATCATGTGCAAAAGAGTGAGAATAGTTGAATAGTTAAGGAAACTGGTGAGGTATGTTGAGACACCCAGGAACTACCAACAGCAAGAAACTGTGACCTCCCCAAGGTCTAAAGGCACAAGGAAAAGGAGCAATAATGCCAAGAATGACAGCCCCATGGGAGTTGGAGCATAGATAAGGGATCATAATGACTCTCACACATGAGACCCAGCAGGAAGAGAAGAGGGGGAGCCATACTGTGACCTCTCTATCTCTTTCTACCTGCCCTCAAATCTCTTGGCAGTACCCCTAGCAGCCAGAAGCCAGAAGCCAGAGGCTACAAGGTCCGGGATAGCATCGTTCCATCTGTAGATATCGCCTCATGGGACACAAAACAGGATAGTGCAAAGAGAGAGGACTGGGGAGAAGGAAGTACGAATGGAGAACAATCAACATTTGAATTTTCAATCTTTCATTCAATCCATTGAATCCACTTTTGGCATCTTTTTCTTGTAGAAGCTCCAGACTAAGAAACCACGCAAAAATTTAACTTGAATTTAAATTCCAGGAAATGGGTTTGGTCCTTGAGATTAATTATTCTTTAGATTTTCTATGATGTATTTACAAAATCCTAGACCTGGGATTTGCAGAGCGCCTATTATCCTGCACTTTGAGGATCGCCCATACCCCAGGAAGAAAGGTCCTGTGTTACCGACTGATTCATGTTGTTCCATTCATCATTCTTATCAAGTGCTTGCCTTCATTTTATTTCCTTTCTCTTTGAAACCGTGCCTCTTAGTAAATGTCATTGCTGTTGTCCATTCATATGTGTGTTTCATATTTTAAGGGTCTTTAATTGTTTGATTCTAACAGCATTCCCCTCCCTTTTAAGCTACTTTGGAAGACTATTTAAAAAAATCTACAGGATCTGAAATATATTAAAGACTTCAGAGTTTTTTTTCAGAGAATACAATGTTTTCATCTTTTTTTTTTAAGAGGCATTTTATAGCTCAGGGAAAGTCACTTAAAAAATCTCATTCTACTGAGATACCACATGCCCCATTTGTTCAGAAGTCTTAACTGACAGGAACTGCTTTACCACTCACCTGTGTCTGTCTAAACCTCCCAGATTCTAAGAGGTCATTGACTCTTTTCATAACTCACTGTTTATGCAAAGTTCTGTGTCATTCACACAGTTAATAAAGGTGGTGTCATTTAGCCTTTAAAAGCTATTTCCAAGGATCATTTCTTACAATAATGAAAGAGTCAAATAAATTCCAATGACTTGAGCAGATAGATTCTTGAGCCAG
Organism: Homo sapiens; assembly: GCF_000001405.40. Taxonomy (NCBI): domain Eukaryota; kingdom Metazoa; phylum Chordata; class Mammalia; order Primates; family Hominidae; genus Homo; species Homo sapiens. The sequence continues at coordinate 6,742,441 of NC_000020.11, forward strand.
TCGAACTTCTATATTTTTGATGTCCATATTGACATGGCTGTCTACAGAACAAGGACAGAAGTAATGACATCCCCCACAAGTGCTCATGTTTATACCACAGATTGATTTCTGTCCAACCCATTTTCATTCACTTTTCTATTATAAATTAGTCTAACTCCGGTAATGTACATGAGTTAAGTAAAACAGGTATAAGAAAGCATACTTTGGCACACATAGATGCTGTAGGCCTATATATGTTTCTTACATTTAATAGACATGTTGGTGCAAGACATATTTTACTGTTCTCTTATTCTATATTAAGAAAAAAAATATTGTGAGTGTGACGACAAATGGCAACAGAGGCCGGTATTTGGGGGCATGGGAAACCGGGCAGCACATATGCCATCTAGAGGGATGCCTGACTGCTTTGGTCCAGTGCACTGATGCTACATGGGAAGGAAGGCCTGGCTGGTGTTGTCAAATCTTCTCACCCTCAAAAAACAAAACAAAACAAAAAAACAAAAACAAAAACAAAAAAAACAGGAATATTGGCTTTTTTATATAAAAATTTCCAAATTTTAGATTTTGGCAACAATTTTGCAAAAGTTAAAAAGCACTTTTTAGGCCAAATCTGATACTTTTTAAAGCTGGGTATTACTGACTGGCCAAGAGTTAGGAGCTGCTAAACTCAGTGAGACCCAAAGGCAAGGCATCTGGGCAGTTTGACATGGAGTAAGGAGAGGGAATGTTTGCTCTGATTGATTTCCTTCTACAATAATAAAAATACAGAAATTGTGGAATGTTCTAGAAGCCACCAAGAAAGTACTCAACTGCTTTCAGGGCAGTCCTGGGTCCTGATCACCTTCTTCCCTACTCCTCAGAGTCACCTCTTCCCCATGCACAGACACTCTTACATACACATACAAAAACACACACACACACACTGGTTACCTAAGGATGCCTTTCCTTGACGTCCAGTCTGTGTTTAGACAACTTAGCTTCCTGCTTGGGCATTATGCTATTAGAACTTGAAAATATTTCCATAACGACATTCCTGTTTCACTAAATCCTAATTTATCCATGACTCAAAGTCATTTAAAGTCATTTAGCCATGTGAAACCTCTGGCTCCTGGGATCTGTATGTATACCCAGGTGCCTCTTTGCTAGTTGTATAAAGTTGATTGCTGATTTGTAAGCACTCACCTGGATCTCACTGAGAACAACATCACGTCTCTTAAACACTAGGGAAAATCTTAGGGTTGTGCAATTCCTAGGATTGGCCTGGTAAGAAAATCCATCTAAATGATTGTTTATCATTGTGTGGATAAAGGCTCCTCAAACAAGGGATCAGCATAGAGAATTAAGTATGCCAGAACAGCGGTTCCCAATCTTTTTGGCACCAGGGACTGGTTTCATGGAAGACAATTTCTCCGTGGACTTGGGGCAGGGGGATGGTTTTGAGATGAAACTGTTCCACCTCAGATCACCAGGCATTAGCTTCTCATAAGGAGCACGCAAACTAGATCCCTTGCACGCACAGTTCACAATAGGATTCTAGCTCCTATGAGAATCTAATACTGTTGCTGATCTGACAGAGGCGGAGCTCAGGGGGTGAAGCTCCCTTGCCCACTGCTCACCTTCTGCTGTGTGGCCCAGTTCCTAACAGACCGCAGACCAGTACCAGTGGCATTAGGTACAGGACTGTGGTGGGTGTTGGGGACCAGTGTGACAGAAGATATCCTTCAGTACTTTAAGGCATTTCAGAGCAGCCTAGTGGCTCCTGCTCCTAAAAGGGATACTTCACAGTGTTGTGGTATCTGAACGCCTTAAGGAAACAAGACAATTCTGAAGTTAGGCCCAGAGCAAGGGAAGAGGGAGCCCTTCCAGAGGCAATCCTGAGGTTAGCTCCCTCTAGCCCAGCCAACCTCTAGCTTATGACCTCATCACCATCCTCTACTTCCTCTTTCTTTGCCTCTGCACTGTTTGACTGGGGTTGCCATAATTCTGACATGGCCTGCTGGCTGGATTAAGATCTTCTGGCTTTCTGAGATGGTCTGCATCCTGTTTGCTACATCTGTATCCCTAAGCTCCTCATGTCAATGTTTCCAACCAAAATGTATTAACTTTGAACCCTTGGCTCCTGCACTCTACTTTGCTAAAAGGATGCTGGCCTTCCTTGACTTTGCATGGAGCCAATTTCCCTCCCCCTCCAAGAGCATCTACCTCATGGAAGGATATACAAGTTCCTTCCTCTGACAACAACCCCTCTTGCCAGGTGCTGTGCCTTGGAAACACAGTCATATTTAAGAATGGACATTGCCCCATCATTTGCACTAACTTAAGCTGACTGACTACTTGTGCACAGGACATACCAGAGTCAGAGCACTGGAATTATTATTTTATGTCTTTTCTTCTAGCTTAAAAAAGATATTTTTAAAAACTGGTTTCATAATGGACAGAAAGTATTACGTTATTGACCTGAAAATTAAAAAAAGCAAATGCTTATTAAGGCATGTTGGTCACTATGTGTTAGAGGACAGGAATTCCTGGTGATGCAATCGGCTTCATCCAGCAACTGAGTACAGAAAACCTTTTCATATGTGCTAAGCTGCAATGAAGCCTCCGTGCAAACAGTCAGCTCTGACTGTGGATCCCAGCTTCTCTGCTGAGGTTCAGATCCCTCAGGACAGCATTTCCTGATGGAGTCAGTCACTCAATTCTGTATCCAGGCACTCACATTGATGACACGCAAGCAAATAAAATGGTTTATGAGGAAAGATTGCTACCGAGTCTTGGTAGTCCTGAGGGTCAATAAAAATGTTACTTGAGGAAAAGAATCATCAGCGTAAAGATTAATTATCTGTTAAATCATGGTGGTGAGAGTAGCTTTTTCTATTGGGTGATGAATTTTTATGCGTGTTCTGACATGCATGAGTTTGACATATTACACAATTGGTACGACAAAAACAGAGAATGCACAGTGAGGAGCCCATATGAGGTGACTGTAAGAGGATCTGACTGCATCTGAGAGGCAATGCACTCTCTTGAGCAACTCAACTCCGATGTCCACTAAATGGAATTACTCCTAAGTGTATCACAACCATGGCCCAGTTATTTAATAAGAAAATCATACTTAATATGAATGTTTAACATCTTCAATATAGGCAAATGTTTTGTTTATAAAAGTCAGGTCAATAAAACAACACTACTCCTTTCTATTTTTTATCATAAATAATAAAGAATTGCTTGTGGAGTATCTAAGGTACAGTCAGGAAAACTGAAATTACTCTAGGTGTATCAAACAGAAGGAATTTAATAGAGGGACTTGACAGAAATATGGAGGAGCAAGGAACCCATAGAAGGGATGGTGAGGCAACCCACATGTTAATGACAGCAATTAACCTCTAAGGTTAGCAGGAGTAAATGGTGTTACCAGGGCCAGAATTTGGAAGCTACGGCCATGGTGAGGTCTTCTCAGTGGAAGTTTAAATCATAGAGGGGACAATCATTGCCAGGGATGTAATCTGAAGCACAGACAGAGGGGGAGAATTACCCTGGCTTCTTCCATCTCCCCCCTCCAGCCTTCCAACAGAGCCTCTGTTTGCCTAAATCTACAAGAAACCCAGGGAGAAAAGCAGCCTGAGAAATGCAGTTTCCAGAGCAGGATATGGGAATTATTACTAACTGGCAAATGACTAGGACACTGGTGTCTCAGAAGACAAGTATATTTGTACATTTGCCCTAGATAATTAACCTATCTCTTAAGTGTACTTTGATGAGTGAATTTTAGCTCCATTTTTATTATTCTGATTTAAAATGAATGAAGGAGAATCACAATCAGGCTGTGATGTGTTTGCCAATAATTTGCCCTATGAGATATCTAGTTAGGTCTCTCTGTACCCATATATCTTCAATTTTCCTTAAATGTTCTTTGCTGTCCACCTCCTTCCATTTTTTATTTTAGCCTTGGGATTATCCACTAAACAGGAACGATGATTTCATTCATTTTTATAACCTAATCCCTCAGAGGGTGAGACAAGCTGGAAGATGAGGGAGTACCTGTTGGTAACTATTTTAGACAGGTAAATTTAAATTTTATAAGTTCAAATATCTTACTCAGTACTAGGACGTGAGTAGGGAAATGTCTGGTTCAATGATATAAACACAGCAAACATTAGCCCAGAATGTAGTAGGAGAAATGCAAGGAAAAGAAGTATTTCAGAAGCATCCTGCTTTTTAAATGCTAGAATTTTCTTTGGTCTGAATTGCTGACGTCCATCACAGTTTTAGCAACCTTTTTACTTGCTGCCATGGGGATCTGTTCTCTGCAATCCAAAACGCAGAATGACTTGATTCTGAAACATATTGAGTGCAATCTGCTTCTAAACCTGCAAGGCATATCTAAAATAATGTGCATGTTTTATTGAACTGATACTGCCACAGTGTCTATTATTTGCCTACATTATTCTAAGGACTTGATAAATATTATCACATTTTACTTTTTCAAGCAATGGAAGGTACAGATATGAGGACAGGTCATGTGCACTGGTCTATCATGTCTCGTCATTTTGCAAATGAGGAAACTGGAACACAGAGACATTAAGTAATAGCCCTGCAGTTAAAAAGTTAGCAGTTGGTAGAGCCAGGATTTGAACCCAGGGGTTCTACTTCTAGAGTCTGTGTTCTTAACCACTATGCTATGCTATTGTCTTCGATATGGCAACCTCAGGTTAGTCAGACCTATTGCATGAAGGCTCACAGCTCTACTAGTGAGCATTCTAGCAAGCAAGGTGGAAGCTGCCTGGTCTTGCATGATTTGGCCTCAGAAGTCACCTAGTGTAACTTGCACTTTAATCTCTTGGTCAAAGCAGTGATGAGCCCACTCAAAACTAGGAGTGTGGGAAGAGTGTCAAAGCGTCAAAGAATTTGCAGCCATGCTTGAATCCATCACACTGGGCAAAATACCAGAAACAATAACCACAATATACGATACCCAGAATGGTGTGTTGGTTTTTATTTGCTGAAATGACCTTATGGTTTCCTATATTTGGTCCTCATTTATCTACAGCAGGAAATGGAAGGAAATAGAGTCTTTCCTTTAGGCAGTTCTCTGTTCCAACTGGTATTCTTCTAACGCCTCCCTTAACTCTGACAACCTTCTAAATGGCATCAGACAAGACTTCCACGGACTCAAGTTTCATTGATGTAGTTGTACCCAAACAGAAAATGTTCTGTTGCCTATATTCAAAACACATTGCTAAGCCAATTTTCTCTAAATTCTCCTGAATTTCCTCCCCTGGGAGGATTTTACAACTGCCAAGTTTGAATATTAAACCTTTAGGTACTTTTGAGTAATACTCAGCAGAGAGAAAAGAAAAAAAAATATTTTAATAAGGTGACGTTGGAGAGAGAGAGAGAGAAAGTGTGTGTGTGTGTGTGTGTGTGTGTGTGTGATTCTCAGAGAAAAATGTAGGTATTTCTGTTTTAACTTAACTGTAAACTACTGAACTAATTTAGCTTAATCTTTTGAATACAAGTTCAATTTATGAGGCCAGTGACTATCAAAAAATTTAAGCTGAAAAATAATGGGAAAACCACTCAACTCACCAAAATTCTGTTTTTCATTAAAATCTGAGTTTGTGACAAATGTGGCTTTGTAAAAAATAGCTCTGGTGAATGCTACTATTAATGTACTTGATGACATTTCTTTATGATGTTTTCCCAAGGGAGCAATTTGATTGGTATAGAGAAAAATTTCAAAAGAAGGTTTCCTTCTGTGTCATGATCTAAGACACGAATTTCACGTGCAGACAAACAAATATTGGAGTGATCAGGCTGGTTGGTCTGTCGGGTCTTTATAGCCAAGGTTAATTCTAATTACATGACTGGCTGCAAATTTGCCCTTTCCTCTCCCACCAATGCAGAAGCAGACAAAAGATGGCTATTGGAACACAACAGTTCACAGTAACATTCTCTGCCATAACCTCTAAATGTGCAGACAAAAATGTTAAAGGGGCTAGCAATTAAATTATTTTTATTAATTAAGGATGGGCCAGCATGAAATCAAATCACCCAATTAGTTCAGCAAGAACTTGAATAAACCCAGTCATCAGGAATATCCTACATGGAATATCTGAATGATGGACGGAGTTGAAGGAGTTGACTTAATTAGAAAGCTTTTTCAGCCTTCCTAGGGCAACGAAACTTCTTTTAAAGTCTACATGTGCAATAAAGTAAGCTTAATGTAGCTTGGACTTAAGCTTAGACAGCATAAGAAAAGGGTTCCAACCACCACTTCTGGGACCGGACCACCAAGATGTGATTCCCATTTCTACTCCTTGGAGCTGGATGGCTTTGGATAAATTCTGTAACCCCCCTGTTCCTTTTATCTTTCTTCTATAAAATAGGAATAATAAACATGTCTACTTTACAGTATTGTGAAGAGGACCAAATGAATTAATTTTTGCTTAGAGTAATCAGCACAGTATGTGCTTAATAAACGTGGTTATCATGTATGCTATAATCGGCTTTGGCTATTCTTAACAATTCATCAACATAATTTCTCTAGCTACCACACGTGAGCAGTCCTACCCCCAGTATAATCATCTGGTGGCCTTGGGGAAGTCACTTATTGCCAGTGAACTTTGTGGGATTAAAAGGCTATTCTCGCATGGTGACCTCTGCTTTTAAATCAAAGTAGCTAAAGCACATGGAATGCTGCCTGGTAAATAAATAGTAGAGACGCACAGTCTGAAGCAGAATGGTGGAATAAAACATACTAATAAAGTTTTTAAAATAAAAATATAAGAAAAAAGGGAGAGAGAGAAAAAAATACCACTAGGGTTCAAATAAAGGAAAGGGCCCACTACTCAAATCAACATCTTTAAAAAGAGGCAAGGTTGGAGACATTAGAGGCTCTGGCGTCTTCCCCACCACCTCCTAAATGCACCCCTTGCCTCTATTCTACCCCTGTAACGGAGATTAGAGATTGTGAGTGAATGCCTATCTTCTACGGGAAGAAATGTGCACTTGGAGGGTATGAGGGCAATCTGGTGACTATATGAAGTATCTTCATTATAAATCCTAACAAACGGAAGAGAGAAGATTCGAATATATAATACAAGAAAATGTTACCTGAATGAAAGCAATTTGAACTAGCCAATTTATTGAATGTGTTATATAATGTGTTCTAGAACAAATGAATACATGACAGAAAACACAGATATATCTTACAAAAATTGCAACTTCAAAGATCAAGATAATTTTCTTAGGAATACAAGTAGAAAAAGAAAACTGAGTATGAGGATGAAAATTAAAACTGGCCATGGACTTAGCTACGGTAACATCTATCACCAGTGGTAATATAGCAATGTCTTCAAGTTATTTGGGATGGTGGTGGGTAGGTAAGGTAGGGGTTCATGTAAAAATTCTAAACTAAGTCAAGAGAGCACACTTACTTGATGCCAACTGAATTATATGCAAACATTCAAAAGTTATAGCTTTTATGATTAAATTGCTTAATATTTTTAAATCACTTTGTGGCATATAGAAAGTGTTATGTAACTGTTAGTTAATTCATTAAATAAGAAAAAAATGAATCTCATGAAGTCCATAAGCTCTTCTTAATAAAATCTACCTTAACAAGGGAAGCCCTGATAAGACTATAAATGTGTGTGCTAAACCTATTTACATACAGAATTAAAATTAAATCAATGTGGGGCCAGGCACAGTGGCTCACACCTGTAATCCCAGCACTTTGGGAGGCTGATGCAGGGGATGCTTGAGCCCAGGAGTTTGAGACCATCCTGGGCAACATGGTGAAACCCCGTCTTTACAAAAAATTTAAAAAACTAGCCAGGCATGGTGATGCATGCCTGTAGTCATAGCTACCCAGGAGGCTGAGGAGGGAGGATCACTTGAGCCCAAGGGGTTGAGGCTGCAGTGAGCCGTAACTCTGCCACTGCATTCCAGCCTGAGGACAGAGTGAGACCTTGTGTCAAAAATAAAATAAAATGGTAAAATAAACTAAAAAATAATCATTGTAAGAAATATGATTTCAGAATGTATACATTCTAATTTGCAAAAATGCAAAAATAATAATAGAGCAACAGGATATCAGGAAGTAAGGGGGCAGAGCTGGGAAGATGTGTCAGTGTACTCATTTCCCCACTTTTGTATGGAGAATGAGTAGATTATATCTAAAGTAGACAAATCATGAAATAGAGCTTCCTCTTATCCATGTGTTCAACTAGTGTTTTTGAAGACCACTATGTGCCAGGCACTGTTTTAAGTGGTATGGATGTAACTATGGTAATTCTTCATTTAATATCATTGGTAGGTTCTTAGAAATGGTGACTTTAAGCCAAATGAGGTACAGCAGGTTCTGTAATAACATGGTTCCATTCAAAGTCATTTTATTATAATTTTATGAGAAAAAAATGTTTTTCTTATACCTCTCTTCACTTACGGTTGCAGTTTCCAAGAACCTATTGACATGGTAAGTAAGGAAGGACTTTCTGTACAAACAAGACATGCAAGATCCCTGCTCCTTCACACTTTATCCTCTAGTAGAAAGAGACTAGCCAATGCAACTAGTTAAGATAAAAAGAAATGGATGGACAGGTCAATGAAAGACTCTCAAACATAAGTGGGATACTATATGACAAATGTCATTTCAAACTAGTAATAATAGATAATTCAATAAATGTGATGGGAAGCTGGCAAATGAAAATAAATTTCAGATGAGTCACGGATTTAAAGATCAGTGATTAATCCATTAAAATAGTGTGAGAAAGCATTGGTAAATGTATAATCTTGGAGAATGAAAATACCTTTTAATTTAAGGCAGACAGCACAGAAATCGCAAAGCTAAAGATGAGTACATTTAATTACATCAACATTTGAATTTTCTGTACAAAAAATATATAATAAGATCATAATACAGTCAATAGATGGAAAAATATTTATAACACATTTCTGAGACAGGACACATTTCTTTAATAGATAAAATTCCTGTAAAAATAATTTTAAAAAGTAGGTGTGATAATAGTAATACAATTTTTTTTTTGCTTGCTTTTTAAGTTAATGAGGAAAAGGCGAACAAGCCAGAAAAGTGGGCAAAGAATCTGGTAAAAGCAAACCGAAATATAATAGCTAGTAAGTAGAAGGTAAGATTTTCAGCCCCATTCATAATAAAAAGAAATGCAAGTTAAAATAAGGCAGAATTGGCCAGGCACGGAGGCTCACTCCTGTAATCCCAGCACTTTGGGAGGCCGAGGTGGGTGGATCACAAGGTCAGGAGATCGAGACCATCTTGGCTAACACGGTGAAACCCCGTCTCTACTAAAAATTCAAAAAAATTAGCCGAATGTGGTGGCGGGCGCCTGTAGTCCCAGCTGCTCGGGAGGCTGAGGCAGGAGAATGGCGTGAACCCGGGAGGCGGAGCTTGCAGTGAGCCGAGACTGCGTCACTGCACTCCAGCCTGGCGACAAAAGGAGACTCCGTCTCAAAAAAAAAAAGAAAAAAAAGAAGGCAGAATTGTTACCTTACCGTTTTACTAACATTTGATGGTGTCCAAAGCTGATGTGAATTCCATTGAGGATAGAGTAAATCAGCACATACTTTTGTGAAATGCGATTCATGTACAATCTTTAAATTTTTTTTTAATGCACATTTTCTGACCCAGAAAATCTATTGTTAGAAATGTCCCCTCTGGGTATATTAGTAAAATTGTTTATAAATGTATTAATTAAAACATTCTTATAAGAGCAGAAAGAAAAAAAAAACTGGAAATAGCTGAATGTCCATCAGGAGGAGAAATTAAATTATGGCAATAATACTGCCCTTAAAAACAATGAAGTGGATCTGTATGAATAGATCTCCAAGATTTATTTATTTATTTATTTATTTAAGACAGAGTCTCTCTCTGTCACCCAGGCTGGAGTGCAGTGGCACAATCTCAGCTCACTGCAACCTCCACCTCCTGGGTTCAAGTGATTCCCCAGCCTGAGCCTCCCGAGAAGGTGAGACTACAGGCACGTGCCACCACACCCGGCTAAGTTTTTGTATTTTAGTAGAGACGGGGTTTCACCATGTTGGCTAGGATGGTCTCAATCTCCTGACCTCGTGATCCGCTTGCCTCGGCCTCCCAAAGTGCTGGGATTACAGGCATGAGCTACCACGCCTGGCCAAGATATATTTATTTAAAAAAAATCAAAACCCTAGGAAGATGTGGATATTACTGACTGCGATGTCAGACCTTTGTGCAAAGGTTTATACACAAATATACACACATGTACATCTGTGCATTTGCCTTGATTCTCCTGTTTAAATATGCATGTTAGCCCTGTTTACCTTTAGAAACAAAGTCTTTTATTAGTATTTATTATTTTATTTTAATTTTATATATTTTGGCATTTTAAAAAATTTTTGACATGTGTATATCATTATTTTTTAAGTTAACAGAGGTCATCTGGGTAAGAGAACTATGAGTCATTATATTTTTCTTTCTTTACTTTTCTCAATTAAAAATACTTTGGCTAACTATGGTTACTCACGCCTGTAATCCCAGCAATTTGGGAAGCTGAGGCAGGAGGATTGCTTGAGCCCAGGAGTTCAAGGCTTCAGTCAGCTAGGATCATGCCACTGCACTCCAGCCTGGGCAACCAAGTGAGACCCTGTCTTAAAAAAAAAACTTTAAAATATTATTTAAAATAAAATATGATGTCATTATTGTTTAATTTTTAATAGTTTATAAACTTCTCACGTTAAAATGAGAGAGAATTCCCTAAAATATTCAGCTCTTTTGTAAACTAGGAGCAACATATTTGGTTTACTATGTGAGACATGTCTTGGGGGCTAAAGAAGACTAGCATTTGCCATTTGTCTTGGGGGTGGGGTCCAGTTGCATTCTCCTCCTTTGCTGATGGCAGCCTGGCCCACATAGTAAGACAGTGGCCTTCTTCTCCTAGATCTCCTTCTCCAACTCTGAACCTGCTTCTTCCAAAGCAAGGCCTTTCAAATTTATTAAAAACAGAAATGTCAGCAAGTATTTTCTCCCATTATATAGGTTGCCTTTTCATTTTGTTGATCCTTTTTCTTCTGAGCAGAAGCTTAGTGGTTTGATGTAGTCCTACTTGTTTATTTTTGCTTTTGTTGCCTATGCTATCAAAAAAATTATTGCCAAGACCAATGTCAATGAGCTTTCCCCCCTGTGTTTTCCTCTAGGAGTTTCATGGTTTCAGACCTTACATTTAAGTCCTAATCTTATGGTATATGGTATAAGACAAGGATCCAGTTTTATTCTTTTGCCTGTGTATGTTTGGTTTCCCAACACCATTTATTGATGATAATTTCCTTTCCCCATTGTTTATTCTTGGTGCCTTTGTCAAAGATCAGTTAACTATATGTGTGTGGATTTATTTCTGTGCTCTTTATTCTGTTTCATTGGTCTCTGTGTCTGTTTTTATGTCAGTACCATATTGTTTTGATTACCATAGCTTTGCAATATAGTTTGAAGTAAGAGACTGTGCTGCTCCCAGCTGTGTTCTTTTTTCTCAAAATTGCTTTGGCTATCCAGGTCTTCTGTTGTTCCATACAAATGTCAAGATTTTTTTTCTATTTCTTTGAAAAATGACATTGGAATTTTGATAGATTACATTGAATATGTACATGGCTTTAGGTAGTATACACTTTTTAACAATATTAATTCTTCTAGTCCATAAACACAGGATAGCTTTACATTTAATGTTTTCTTCAATTTATTTCATCAATGTTTTATAGTTTAAAGTGTACATATCTTTCACCTCCTTGGTTAAATTTCTTGCAGCATTTTTCACAGCAGCCAAGATATGGAAACAAACTAAACACCCATCCAGGGATAAGTGGGTAAAGAAATTATGGTACATATAAACAATGAACTATTACTCAGCCTTTAAAAAGAAGAAGATCAGGTCATTTGTGACAACATGGATGAAACTGGAGGATGTTATGCTAAGTGAAATAAGCTAGACACATAAAGACATATACTGTATGATCTCACTTATATTGTGGAACCCAAAAAAATTAAACTCATAAAACCAGAGAGTAGAATGATGGTTGCCAGGGATTGAGGGGTTGAAGAAGGTAATGGGAAGATGTTGGTCAAAGGGTACAAACTTTAAAATACAAGATGAACAAGTTTTGGGGATCTCATGCACAGCAGGAATGGTGATGGGTATGTTAATATGACAGTGGTAATCACTGTAAAATGTATATGTATATCAGGTCATCATGGTGTACACCTTAAATATATTTAAACTTTGTCAATTAAATACTAAATATATAAAATATAAGTAAATATTTTTTAAAACAAGAAAAATCCCAGATATGCCTGGAGGCTTTCCTATTAGGGTAGACTTGGTGGGGAGACCATAGTGCTCAGAAAACAGTGTGGAGCACAGCAAGGAAAGTAACTCAGAATACAATTCTGAAAGTGTTCATTAAAGCACACTCAATGTAGAATTAATTAGGTGTTCATTTTATGGTTAATCCACCTCACTCAAGTTATTTCAAAAAGAGATAGAAAGACAACTGGAGAAAAGCTGTTCACATTCAGTTCCTTTTGTGGCTTAATTGAAGCTAGAAGCCAAATCATCAAAACAGGGGAATCGCCCAGTTTTGATTTTTAACTACTGATTGATATGGTTTGACTCTGTGTCCGGACCCAAATTGTAAACCCCACATGTTGAGGGGGAGAGCTGGTGGGAGGTGATTGGATCATGGGGACAGTTTCACCCATGCTGTTCTTGTGATAGTGAGTGAGTTCTCACGATATCTGGTTCTTTGATAAATGTGTGGCGCTTCCCCCCACAACCTCTCCTGCTGCCTTGTGAAGAATGTGCTTGCTTCTCCTTTGCGCTCCACCACGACCGTAAGTTTCCTGAGGCCTCCCCATCCATGCAGAACTGTGAGTCAATTAAACCTCCTTTATAAATTACCCAGTCTCAGGTAGTTCTTGAAAGCAGTGTGAGAACAGACTAATACACTGATGTAGGACATGAAACAAGAGTCAATTGATCTAAAAGTTGCTTCCTATCTAAAAGTGCTTCATTTGTTTATTGCTGAAAATGAAAGAGGACATGTAGGAATGCAATTCAGACATCTCCTGGTAGCTCCATAATGAAAATCACTTAAAATATATGACCGAGGTAAATTTTGGCAAATACATCTATACTTAAAATAGCCAAATAGTTCTAGTTCTGTCTGATTCTATGTTTGGCACTTTGGGACACTGTATTTGCTCTCTAACTAAAGTGAGGTAAATCCAAATTTACTCTGAACTAGATAAGAACACTCAAATGATCAGAGATCTTTTCTCCCTATAATGCTTTCATGAGAAATGAACAAACAAGTAGATTTGATTTCTCTTTTTCTCTCCCTCCCTCACTCCCTCCTTCCCTCCCTGTCTTACTCCTTCCTTCCTTGATTTCTTCCTTCCTTCCTTCTTTGCAACAACCACTCCATAGTGTCTCAAATGGTAGAACAAATATAATACAATTTCTATATTTTTCCTGATTAACAGCTGGTACAAAGATAATACTTGGCCATAAACATGTCTCTGAGGTTTTCATTATAGAAAGCTAACCAAACTTAAAATTTTCAAAAATAAACTAAATTGTATTCAGGGATATTTTATTATAATTGTGTATGAGGTACATATAAGTAAATCATAAAATTTAATTTGCATTTCACCTTTAAGTTGTTGTGTATTTCATCAGCATTCATTCCTCACTATATTAAAGTAACTAACTTCCCTGGAGCTCCATCTTTTCTGCCTACTTAGTAGTTTACTTGTGTAATAAGACATTGAAACAGTAAGCTGCTGAATCAATACCAAGTAAGCAAAAATCAGCTGCAAGAAATGCAGATCTATTGCTAACATTAATTTTTAAGGCATTTAATGAAATTATAGCTGTTTTCCCTAATGGTCTTATAACTTATTCTACTCTGGATCACACCAAATACTGCCTGTTAGCCACTTTATACATGCAAATTGGTCTTTTATTAATGAATTGTTTAAACCAAAAAAATGGCTCCCTAATAACCTAAAAATGATTAGCCTCACTTTGTAAAAATACAGCTTACCTATTTGATATACACCTACTGGCATGAATGATCTTAAGAGACTAATTTTCAGGATATAATAATAATTGACAATTGTGGGAATTGACAATTTGGATTCTGGAAACTAAATGAGTATTTTTTTTTCAAGAATTTTCTCAATCTCTATGCATTTATAAGTAGAACATGTTCCTGCTTCTGTATTTTCTATGCTATCATTTCAACTCCTTTTTCATTCCTTATAGACCATTAAGTTCCACCAGATCTTACCATTTCAATCTCTTAACAGCCTTCTCCTTCACCCCATGCTTCCGCTGAGTGCAAGTACTCTCTATCTCTTGCTTAAACAATTATAACAGCCTTTTAATTTATCCTTCTGCCTGTGATCTGGCTGTATTCCAAGCCATCATGCTCACTTCTACTGAAGAGATTTTTCTCAAAAGCAAAGTAGAGCCTACAAGGAAAAGTCCAAATTCCTTTGCCCAGCAAAATATTGGCACCCCTTTCTCCTCTTCTGTGCTGTCATACTGAGCTGCTGATCATTTCTTTAATGCATCTTGATGTTTCATGCTTTTCTGCCTTTACCCCTGCTGTTCCTTCTGCCTGGAATTCCCTCCCCCCACCTTGTCTATCTGCCCAACACCTGCTCAGTTTTCATGATCCAACTCAAGTGCTATGTCCTCCCAGGAAACCTTTTCTGACCTTCAGCTGTAGGTGGTAACTCTATTCTTGGTTCAATTTCTGTACCTTGTATAAACTTCTGTTTGGTTGATTTTTATACATCGCCATATTCATCTTTGTAGCTCCGGAAACTTAGCAGTGCTTGGAAAAGTGAAAGTCATTGAATGAATAAATAAAGCAAGGGCAGGAGGAAACAGGTCTCCAAAGCCAACAGTTTTATTTCATTTGTGGCAAAGTGCCATTCGATTTAAATTCAAAGCCATTTTGATAGGCACTATCTCAGTTCAACAGAAACTCCAGTGTTCATTTTGGGTTCCTCCAGAAGCTCACTGGATGGCAAGAGTTCAAGTACAAGTAAGATAGAGGGAGGTGAAAACACAATTAGGGGAATGGGAAGCTGAGGTAGGGAAGGCAAGGCAGCCTGTGAAGGATGCATTCTTAAGCCAGTTATCATTGTGGCTCACTGAGTCAGTTCAGATCATGCACCTCAGAATTACCCCTCCTAGAGGCAGATGGGGTATTCATACGCTAACTCCCATTGGTCATTGATTGAGGGTTGCTCCTGGGACATATTAATTCTCTAGGGCATCTGGCCAGCAGCATGTGGGCAGAATAAACTGCACCAAATGGGAAAAGCCCTTAGTTGGCAATCAGGTATGCACTGGGATGGTCAGGGCTGAGGGGGCTGTGGTAGACCTTGACATGGCAGCTACATCTGGTCTTTGATGCCATTGAGTGGTCATTGTAAATATAACAGGATAAAATGTGATATTTCTCATAATCTCTCAGCTTACATATACCTCAGACTATTTGCTCAGTTCAATATTAATTAGGGAAAGGAGCAGAACATTTTGTTCCTCATTACATTAAGACAATTTGTGAAATATGTCCAGGGTGAGAATATCCACTAAAAAACACTGTCAAAGTGATTCTCTTGGGTTGCTATTGTTCAATCTGAGTATGTTGTAATCATAATTCTAAAGTCATTATGCTCAAACCCTTTTTGCCTTTGCCAAATTATCTCACCTGAATTAACAGGTAACCAAGATGAAAATAATTTACAATTTACAATTGGTCCCATTAAGGACCTATAGAGAGACGCACATGACTGACAGCTCAAATATAACTATGCCAGGCTGCTAGGCTTTGTGTGGCCCAACAAGCTGTGAAAGGCACAGAAATATGCAAATCAGTAGATGACGAATCCCTAGGTATTAATTAGAACTTACAAATATATTATTCTCCTGGAAGATTTTGTCTTGTAAAGAGGAAATGACCACACAGAAATTCTCCAGCAAAGCCAATATATAAACTCTTCGTTGATTTTGTTGAAGTTCTCTAGAGAACTTCAACTATTTAAAGAACTATTTAGAGACACTTTTCACCTACTGATAATGCCTTCTTTTTACTTTCTTTTTTGACTTGCATCACCTCCTCTGCTCTTGAATGTATTGCTTACTTATTGGAGATAAATATAAATCTGGGGAAATCACTCATAAAGAAGTAACTCCAACAGTTGTATCAATAACTGAAGTTTCATTTGTCAACTGGTTATTTTTTTTTCTGTGATACAATCAGATCTTTTCTGAATCCTGCACTTAAAACATTTTAAAAACTTGAGGGCACTTTGAATTAAACCACCAATTAGTTTTACTTTTTTAATAAACATTTCTGATCTCAAGCAGCTTACAATCAAGGAAAGGACCTAACTATTTTATATGTACTTAGCCTCCTAGTAACTCCTAATTATTCAAATAAATGTTTTTGAGAATAAAAAAGATAAAATATTTCAATGTACCAGTAAGTTAAATCAAACTTAAAAGCATTTATAAAAGTTTACTGAGATGTATCACTCTGATAGCTACTACCAATTCATACAAAGAAAGTTTAAGAAATTAAGACAATTACAAATAAATGTGTCAGGGGAAAGGAAGCTCAAGACCACTATGAGATAGATAACAAATAGTGTTAAAAGTTGCATAGACAAAGTATGGAATGGGATTTCAGAGAAGAGAAAGAGCTGAGATCTGGAAATGTCAGGGAGGGCTTTATGGAGTGACCACAGGTCCTGTGTGCCTGGGACAGTTCTTGTTGACCCCTGTTATTCCAGTGTATTCACATCTTCACATTTCACTCTTAAAAAAACCTATCTGTTTGTATGACAGATTATTGGGTCTCTTCATTCACAAAGCGAAATGGAAAGAAACAATAGGATTGGGACTGCTATGGAAAATGGTAGTGACCCCGAGGGTAATAAAGGGCATGAGTAGAAGTCACCAGGGTGGATATGAACGTCATGTGCAGGAGACACAAAGAGCCTGTACTTGCTGTATTAGAATTCCTCTTGGGAGATAAATGAGATGAAGATAGCTGGGTATGGAGGAGCAACATTGTGGGGGGGGTATTCCTGAAGATCCAGCTCAGACAGAAACAAGATCTTATTTTCCTATTTTCAAGTCACTAGAAATGCACTTGCCCATTCATGTTATTTTCTATTAGCTTTCCATTCAAAGTCCTACACATATACGATAACTGGTGTCCTGGATTGGAAGAGAAAAGAATTTTCCAGGTATCTGTCATCTCCACAGAAATGCTTTGTCTTTGCAGTGCTTAGGTTGCCACTCCTGTCCTCTTTGAGAGTGAACTCTGAAGAAGCTGTGTTCGGGAAGGGGAACATCACACACCGGGGCCTGTCGTGGGGTGGGGGCAGCGGGGAGGGATAGCATTAGGAGATATACCTAATGTAAATGATGAGTTAATGGGTGCAGCACACCAACATGGCACATGTAGACATATGTGACAAACCTGCACGTTGTGCACATGTACCCTAGAACTTAAAGTATAATAAAAAAAAAAAAAAAAAAGAAGAAGTTGTGTTCTGGGTTGGAAGTGATGACCTTCCAACAGATCACTGTTAAGTTCAAATGAAGAGGAACCCTCCAGCAAATGGTTACAGATAAGACTTTAAGTCCGCCTCATTGGCGAAGAGTCACCTCTGCATAGCTAGCTCTGTCCCAGGATGGAGGGCCAGAAACCAGGAAAGAGAAAGGCTGGGAGGCTCAGGTGATTTGCTGGGATGAAAGTTATCTTGAGAATAAGTTAATATATAGGAAAAGTCTCAGGCGTTTCCACATTTGAGCAAACATCTTCTAGGCAATAACTGGGCTTCTACCACAAGGGCTGATTTCAAAGATCTATTTGAGGATGAAGACTCCTTGCTATCATATTGAAGAAATTGAGAACATTTGCCAGATGAGCCCAAAGGGCCATATAGTGAGGAGTTGATCAAATTTATTGTTCAGGTGGAAACTTGAGTTCTTCTAAGTCAACTCGTTCCTACAAGTGTCAGTCATGTTCGTTCAATTTTTTAAAGTCTCTCTTTTGACCCTAGCTTCCCTCATTATTTGAATTTTTTTAAACAGCCAAATTACATATACCCCAAAGTTATTCCCCACTCTGACTCAGCTTCCTTTCCTTCCACTCCCACATCAACCCCACTAGCCTTGCTCCACTTCATTCTTCTTCTATATCTGCAATCTAGAAACCTCACCAAGGAGCTGCAAACTTTTCATCTATTTGTTCCACACTCCTCACCATCATTTAAGACTGCAGATGAGCTTCTTCTTCTGAGAACTCCTCTCTTATGAATTCTAAGACAAATCACCATTGTCTGCTTTTTATTTTTCGGAACACTTTTTCTGTGACATCTTCCATGCACTTCCTTGGCAATTTTTTCCTCTTCAAATGGTTAAGCCTTAGCTCAGAAATCTACAACTCAATTCCCTAATCCTTCTCCTGATCTCCAGGCCAGTGCCTAATTATCACTCCAGAAGAACTCTATGAGGATATTTAACCAGAATTTTCTAGGTACTTCCAGAAAGAATCATCCCTGAGTCTCTTGTCAGGCTTTTGCTCATACTCCCCCATGTTAAGGGCTCCACTAGTTTTTGTTTTTGTTTTTGTTTTTTTCACCTGGGCTCCAAACCCTACAGATACTGTTGGTTCTTTCCCTCTGCAAAACTCTCCTACCCATCCACAAGGCACAACCTGCACATCCCATCTCCATTATAGCTTTCACTTTGGCTTATTTTTCATATGGACATTAGACCCCCGTTACCACTTCTGTGCATAGTTACAAAAGCTAGGAACTGGTTCTACTACCTACAGTCTCTCACTGTACTTTCTACAGTGCGCTATTACTCTCTACCAAATGTGAGATCTGTTTTTGTAACTTGCATCTCCAACATGCCATTCCTTTAGTAAAAACATTTCACTTTGGAGTAGGAGGCAAGAGTCCTAAGATCCTGTAGTCTGCCACTTTTCAAATCTTATGAGGTTGGATATTGTTTTTGTACCCAGAGATCCACAACATAAGGAGATCTACTCTTTTTCTTCCTCCGTGCCTGAGAGGCCGACTTCTATAGGCTGCAGAGACCGAGAGTCTGAGCATTTGGTGTGCAAGCTCTGAATACTCCCCTCCTCTTGAGTATGAGAAGTATCTATGAATATTATGAAATGTTACCCCTCTTATTGGGTTATGTTATAAGGTAACAGTGAAGGAATTTTTGCAGATGTAATTAAGATTCCTAATCAGTTGACTTCGAGTTAATCAAAAGACAGGTTATCCTGGGTAGGCTTAATATAATTATGTGACTTTTTAAAAGTAGTGTCTAGTAGTCAGAAAGACAGTCTCCTGCTGGCTTTGATGAAAAGAGCAACCAGGAATGAGTTCTACAGCTGCAAGGAAGTGAATTCTGCCAACAACCACCAGAGCATGGAAGAGAACCCTGAGGCTTATATGAAACTGCAGCCCCTGTCAAAACTGATTACAGACTTAGAAGACCCTGAGAAGAGAACTAAGTTCTTTCTGCATTCCTGACCCACAAAACTCCAAGGTAATAAAATGGGCTTCAAGCCACAAAGTTTATGGTCATTTATTACACAGCAATAGGTAACTAATACACTTGCTCTTCTGGTCAAATTAGGCCAATGAGAGATGTCCACAGATGTTCAGAGAGTAAGAGAAAAGAAAGGTTGAGATATTTATTTGCCCCGCCAGCTCCCCAGCTTCTGTCAATGGCTTGCCTTCAGCTGTGGCTTTCTCTGGGCTCTAGCAACTATCCCTTCTGCGTTCCTGGTTTGCCTACCCAATGTAGGGCCACAATACATCATGATCCCTTACCACTTTCTCTCAATTCTGCCCACAGTTTTGTACAATGTTCCTTTGTTCAACTCTTTTCAACTGCCCCTTTAGAATATGCCATCATTTCCCTACTGGGGCTCAGTCTAAAGAATAGTCTTAATTTCTAGTATAGTCTTATCCCTATCCAACCCCACCTCCAAATTTGAACTACCTCTTTGTACTCCTCAAAACAACATCCTACATTTTTTTCACATGATGTCTTGGCTTTGAGTTGTTACCACTGTATAGAATTGAGAGACCATAAGCATAGTGGGGAAAAAAGCCCCAAACTCCCAAAACATGAGTCTAGTGTAAGCTATGCCATTTGCTAGCCATGTGGCTTTGGAAAAATGACTTAACCTTTCCAAGCACAGTTTCTTCACCTGTAAAATAAGGGTAGTGACATTCACTGAGCAAGGTTTTTGTTCCACATTTCAGAAGTGAGTTGCTCTTCATTAAACCTGAAGCAATTGTTTCTCAACTCCCTTAAAGTTCTTATCTCATATGCCATATATTTTATATGTATTTACCCGTAAACATGTTGCATTTCTTCCATTGAATTCTAAGTAAATTATGTGCAGAGATTATGTACTTTTGTATTAACTGGAGCCCAATAACATAGTGCCGTGGGCTTTGTAGTTGCTCAATAAATATTTGTAGACTGTATGTAAAAGGAAATACTATAGTTGACTCTTCACAGTCTATTTAACAGAAAGTCAAAACATTTTAATATCATTGACAAGGTATGCAAATGTATTAGTATATGATAATTAAATAATATGTAGTGGATATTTAAAACAATCGTACTTGGCCAATTTGGCCTGGCTTAGGCTTTGCATATAAATTACCCCACTCCACTCATCCTTCCTATTATGTCTAATCAAATGCAAAATAGGTAAACATTTGAATGACTAAATGCTGCTCTTTTGCTGTGGCTCCCGGGGTTCCCATGAAAGAATTTCATGGAGGTAAAGTAATCAGAACCGGTATTGGGTGTTGCACTAGTAACAAAGTGTTACTCATGCTAAAAAGCCAACAGGCTTCTCAGGGGAGTCTTATTTTGAAGACTATAATCATTTTCCAGAAGCATGTGCTCATTCAACCCATATTTTTGAAATCTACCAAGTGCAAAAGAAAATCACATAAGATAAACTCACATCTTTCGAGAACCAGAACCGATGGCCTTAATTTGCATGTATATAGTAATACAAATTTGCAACCTTTTGTTGTCTTCACACATATCTTCTCATTTATTCTTCACAACCTCCATGAGAAGTCAACTGTTAGTCTCTATAGAGTATTCATGAGGGAGCCGAGGCTATGAGAATTTGTTACTGCCATAGATCAGAGGTCCCCAACCCCCGGGCCATGAATAGTACTTGTCCATGGCCTGTTAGGAACCCCCAGGGGCAGGTGAGGGAGCATTACTGCCTGAGCTCTGCCTCCTGTCAGATCAGCAGCAGCATTAGATTCTCATAGGAGCTCAAACCCTACTGTGAACTGCATGTATGAGGGATCTAGGTTGCATGCTCCTTATGAGAACCTAACTAATGCCTGACGATCTGACGTGGAACCGTTTCATCCTGAAACCATCACCCCCAACCTGGTCTGTAGAAAAATTTTCCTCCACAAAACTGGTCCCTGGTGCCAAAATGGTTGGGGACCTCTGCTTTAGATTGACTGACCCAACTGGTGGCCTTTCTGATGAAATATCCACTGTTTGGCAATATAATAAAAGCTGGGAGAAGAGAAGGAGAAGGAGGAGAAAGAGGAGGAGAAGAAAGGCATCCAAAGTCCTATTTCTTAAAACCAGGCCATATTGCAGACAGAAGGCCAAAGAATACATTTGAAGATACATAGAGTGAGTAGCAATCAGAAACTAAGTTCACACATGTTATCCATTTGACCTTCATCATGTCAGTCTGAAGCAAGCAAACATATATTTATTTACCCCAATTAACAGATGAAATGACCATTTTAAAGTCAGTCATCCATGACAGAACCAGGAATTAGAACCCAGGTCACCCAACTACATCTTAGAGTGTTATCAACATAGTTTACAGACATAACTTAAGGTGTACATCTTAAACTGTGTGACAGTCTAATCAATGCACAAAATTCATTCTTTTTAATTTTTAAGAAGATGTAGTTGGTACTTGCTGAAAGCAGTGATCCTGATTTGGCCAACTTGGCCTAGTTTCTGATATAAATCACTCCACCTCTCCCATCCTTTCTACCATGTCTAATCAAACACCAAAAAGGAAAACATTTGATTGACTAAATGCTTCTCTTTTGCCTTGGCTCCAAGTTCCTGTAAAAAAAACTTCATCCAGGTAAAGTAAGTAGGGATGGTTATGGGTGTCACCCTTGTAACAAAGCGATATGTATGCTAAAAAGCAAAGAGGGTTTCTCAGGGCAGTTGCCACAGGTTTCCATGGAATGACAATTACAAGGTAGATGGATCACGTAATGCCTGCTGTGAACTTTACAATACATGGGGATCACTATTTTAATGTTGATTTGCATAATGTTTGGCCTAGCAAGAACAATACTGAATGCTAATAGCTA
Source organism: Homo sapiens (assembly GCF_000001405.40). Taxonomy (NCBI): domain Eukaryota; kingdom Metazoa; phylum Chordata; class Mammalia; order Primates; family Hominidae; genus Homo; species Homo sapiens. The sequence goes on from NC_000020.11 coordinate 6,764,951, forward strand.
CAGAATGCAATAAAATGGAATATCATGTGAGCTGAAGTGCTAAAATTGCTAAAGTATGACTGTAAGCAGTTAATTTCATCCCGAGTCTTGTCCACACACAATCAAATGCAAATTTCCACTATCTCCTGAGAAACTGCCAAGAGATGACTGAAATGGAATAGCAACAACCTCCTTTATGTGGAATCATTATCTGGTCATCTTTGCTTTTTTACATAACTTGTCTGTACCCTCTGATGCATTTGAATTTGCAACTTCTACTATCCCTATCTTAAACAACTCCCCACTCCCACCTCTGCCCCTTCCACATTTGCTGGCAGATGCACTAAGTCTGATAAACTCAGCAAGACTGAATCTCACCCTCTGAACTGAAAAACTTTGAATGGACCTTTGAAAACGGTAGAATTGACAATGGTTAGCTGCAAGTGATATTTTCAAGGCAAACAGACACTCTCCCAAAGTATTAAATAACCCAGCATTCTAAGTTGCAGGTGGAAGGTAGCCATTAGTGAAGAGAGAGAAAAAAAAAAGAAATAGCTCGTCTGTATTTAGATTTATCATTTCTGACTATTGCTCTTCCCTGGAAAACGGGTAGGTACAGTCATCCTGTACTTCGATCCCAAATCAGTCTCTGGAGACTACTTATTTATTTATTTATTTATTTATGGACTTCTTTCTTTCAAGCGTTCGAACTCATTTCCACCACAAGAGGGCAGCCATCTCTAAAAAAAAAAAAATAGGGCCAAAATTTATGTAAGTTGTGCTTGGAACAAGCATTCAGTAGTTCCTCAGAAATCATACACCCTACATAAAAGAGATTCTGCAATGGGCAGCACTAACATGAAACAGTGTTCAGAAGTACCCATTTTCCCTCAGATTCTAAACTGACAAGGTTTCCACTTACCAGGTTATGAAGTTCTAAAGCTGCAAGACATCCTTGAGGTCATCACAGGATATTTATTTATTTTTTCTTCGGGTGCATCCAATAGTTATCAACTTTTCCTCCTCTTTAAAAGCTACTTAAATCTCATTGAAGTTTTGTTTTGTTTTGTTTTTGAAATCTAAGTAATGAGAGAAACAATTGTTAACTTCTCAATTAAACTTGATAGGAAAGGAAATAATTTCAGAAGCCCTGTGTCCATGAGTAGGATATGTTTTATTGCCTCCTTGTTTGCGGTGCAATGACTCTGAGTGACAATCAACTTCTATAGCACCTTTTTTTTTTTTTTCAGGAAATAAAGTAGCATGTTCCTGAATAATTCCCCCACCCCCTTTTATTTTCCTGGTAGTCAGGCTTCCTCCAAAATACCTTATTTGACCTTTATACCTTTAGAAACAGCAAGTGCCTAATTCGCCTCTGTGGGTTGCTAATCCGATTTACGTGAGCGGAACCTAGTATTATTTTAGCTCCCCTACCGAAAAAATAATACACATGGATAATAGTTCTATTACCAGCTCCTGCTTCTGACTTTTTTCTCTCTGTTTCGCAGGCCCGATAGCTCTGGGAAAGCAGAACTTGGCCTTTTCCAAAAATTTTCTGCCCTTGGTTTTGGGGATCATTTGGGCAAGCCCGAGGTGCTGTGCATGGGGGCTCCTGGAATCCTGGGAAGGGCAGAAAGCCTTGGCCCCAGACTCATCGTGCAGCAGCTCTGAGCAGTATTTCGGCTGAGGAGTGACTTCAGTGAATATTCAGCTGAGGAGTGACTTGGCCACGTGTCACAGCCCTACTTCTTGGGGGCCTGGTGGAAGAGGGTGGCGTAGAAGGTTCCAAGGTCCCAAACTGGAATTGTCCTGTATGCTTGGTTCACACAGTGCGTTATTTTACCTTCCTCTGAGCTGCTAATCGCCTGCCTCTGAGCTGGGTGAGATAAATATCACAAGGCACAAAGTGATTGTACAATAAAAAAATCAAATCCCTCCCATCCATCCTTCAGTCTGCCACACACGCAGTCTACGTTACACACATGTCACGTAAAGCAGGATGACATCCATGTCACATACATAGACATATTAACCGAAATGTGGCCCTTCGGTTGCATATATTCTCATACATGAATATATTTATAGAAATATATGCACATATTTTTGTATATTGGATATATTTATGTAACTATAAATTTACATGCGTATGGATATGAAAATAAATGCATACACATTTATGTAAAAAAATTTGTACACATGCATTTACATATGTAAATACATACATCTCTATGTATTAATGTTTAAAAACACTCAATTTCCAGCCTGCTGTTTTCTTTTAATTTTCCTCCTATTCCGGGGAAACAGAAGCGTGGATCCCACGTCTATGCTATGCCAAAATACGCTGTAATTGAGGTGTTTTGTTTTGTTTTGTTTTTTGAAATCGTATATTACCGAAAAACTTCAAACTGAAAGTTGAATAACGGGCCCAGCGGGGAAATAAGAGGCCAGACCCTGACCCTGCATTTGTCCTGGATTTCGCCTCCAGAGTCCCCGCGAGGGTCCGGCGCGCCAGCTGATCTCTCCTTTGAGAGCAGGGAGTGGAGGCGCGAGCGCCCCCCTTGGCGGCCGCGCGCCCCCGCCCTCCGCCCCACCCCGCCGCGGCTGCCCGGGCGCGCCGTCCACACCCCTGCGCGCAGCTCCCGCCCGCTCGGGGATCCCCGGCGAGCCGCGCCGCGAAGGGGGAGGTGTTCGGCCGCGGCCGGGAGGGAGCCGGCAGGCGGCGTCCCCTTTAAAAGCCGCGAGCGCCGCGCCACGGCGCCGCCGCCGCCGTCGCCGCCGCCGGAGTCCTCGCCCCGCCGCGCTGCGCCCGGCTCGCGCTGCGCTAGTCGCTCCGCTTCCCACACCCCGCCGGGGACTGGCAGCCGCCGCCGCACATCTGCCGCCACAGCCTCCGCCGGCTACCCGAACGTTCTCGGGGCCAGCGCCGAGTGGATCACCGGGGACCGCGAGGCACCCGCGCGCCGCAGACCCCGCGCGGGCTGGAGCACCCGGCAGAGCGCGCCACAGCGCCGTGGCCTCTGCTGCCCGGGCTGCGCCAGAGCCGCGGACGGGCGCGCAGAGCGCCGGGGACTCCGGAGCCGATCCCTAGCGCCGCGATGCGGAGCACCTACTGCAGGAGATCGGGGGCCTGGGACGCGCTGGCCGAGGTGTGATCGGACCCCAGGCTAGCCACAAAGGGCACTTGGCCCCAGGGCTAGGAGAGCGAGGGGAGAGCACAGCCACCCGCCTCGGCGGCCCGGGACTCGGCTCGACTCGCCGGAGAATGCGCCCGAGGACGACGGGGCGCCAGAGCCGCGGTGCTTTCAACTGGCGAGCGCGAATGGGGGTGCACTGGAGTAAGGCAGAGTGATGCGGGGGGGCAACTCGCCTGGCACCGAGATCGCCGCCGTGCCCTTCCCTGGACCCGGCGTCGCCCAGGATGGCTGCCCCGAGCCATGGGCCGCGGCGGAGCTAGCGCGGAGCGCCCGACCCTCGACCCCCGAGTCCCGGAGCCGGCCCCGCGCGGGGCCACGCGTCCCTCGGGCGCTGGTTCCTAAGGAGGACGACAGCACCAGCTTCTCCTTTCTCCCTTCCCTTCCCTGCCCCGCACTCCTCCCCCTGCTCGCTGTTGTTGTGTGTCAGCACTTGGCTGGGGACTTCTTGAACTTGCAGGGAGAATAACTTGCGCACCCCACTTTGCGCCGGTGCCTTTGCCCCAGCGGAGCCTGCTTCGCCATCTCCGAGCCCCACCGCCCCTCCACTCCTCGGCCTTGCCCGACACTGAGACGCTGTTCCCAGCGTGAAAAGAGAGACTGCGCGGCCGGCACCCGGGAGAAGGAGGAGGCAAAGAAAAGGAACGGACATTCGGTCCTTGCGCCAGGTCCTTTGACCAGAGTTTTTCCATGTGGACGCTCTTTCAATGGACGTGTCCCCGCGTGCTTCTTAGACGGACTGCGGTCTCCTAAAGGTAGAGGACGCGGGCCAGGGCCCGGGGTGGGTGGTGGGTGGGAGGGGGATTTGGGCAGCCACTGCGGTAGAGCCCTTCCTTACGTCCAGGCCAGAAGTAAACAGACCCCTCTCCAGTCCACGTGCAACGGAGCCCTGCAGGGGCTCCCACTTCCAGCTGCCCCGGGCGACCGTAAGCCTCACCCTCCCGGCCCGCACTCTTCCACCCCTCTTTCTTCCCCTCTCCCTGGAATACTTTTGGAGCTGTTAACACTTAGATGAGGTGTTTTATTTATTTATTTATTTATTTTTAATTTTTTTAAAAACTTTTTTGGGTCAAAGAAATCCCTTTGAGAGGGTAGCCCCTGGGTTTCACCCGTTAGCTGAGAACCTGTCCGCTCTGCCATGGTGATCTCCATTCTTCAAGTGTTTCCGGGAGACTTGGTTTCTTTGCTCAGAGCCGTGTCCCATTTAGGAAAGTACTAGGAGTTTGGGGTTCTCCCTACTTGTTTCCAGAAATGCGAGGGGTCAGTACTGAAGGATCACTTGGTACTGTGTTTTTAACAGCTGACACGTGCATTAATAGATATTCACCATTTACGTAATCCCGGGAAGATACATGTGTATCTTGACTGCACTGTGGGGATGCGGGATGGAGCTGCCTTTCGAGACACCCCTGAGGGTAGGGGCCTGGGACACAAGTCATAAGTGGCTTCAGAAGTTGTGGCCTTGAGCTTACAGGGTCTGGAAGCTATAAGGGTGTGTGTGTGTGTGTGTGTGTGTGTGTGTGTGTGTCAGGAAGTTCTATACAGTGCCTCTAAGGAAGTCACATGCACCATTTATGTGTGTTTATATGCCAGACAGCGCTCAGCACTCCGCATTTGGGTTTGTATAGGGGACGCAGGGTGTCAGATCAAGCGGTGGTTTTCCCAGGTTCCCGGCATTGGCTGTCAGCGCTGTGTCACACACAAAAAAGTGACAGTCATTGGCGCTGGTTTGGTTGGGGGGGAGGGCAAATCCCAAATCTGATGTCAGACGAGCTAAGCGTTGGATGGGAGCGATAAATCATCTGGTTCAGGAACTTGGGACCCTTCATTATCCCAAACGTTTGAGCTTCGGTCGGTCTTACCTAGACTCGTGAGTGTGCCAAGCCAGGAGGGCATCCTGGAGGAGGCACGCCAGCCAAATGGGAGACCGGGCCGCGGGGGCGCGAGGGGGGAGGACTGGGCGGGGAACTCGGGTGACTCACGTCGGTCCTGTCCGCAGGTCGACCATGGTGGCCGGGACCCGCTGTCTTCTAGCGTTGCTGCTTCCCCAGGTCCTCCTGGGCGGCGCGGCTGGCCTCGTTCCGGAGCTGGGCCGCAGGAAGTTCGCGGCGGCGTCGTCGGGCCGCCCCTCATCCCAGCCCTCTGACGAGGTCCTGAGCGAGTTCGAGTTGCGGCTGCTCAGCATGTTCGGCCTGAAACAGAGACCCACCCCCAGCAGGGACGCCGTGGTGCCCCCCTACATGCTAGACCTGTATCGCAGGCACTCAGGTCAGCCGGGCTCACCCGCCCCAGACCACCGGTTGGAGAGGGCAGCCAGCCGAGCCAACACTGTGCGCAGCTTCCACCATGAAGGTGAGGCATGGAGCAGGGCGTGGGGGCGGGGAGTCACCCTGCAAAGCCCTCCACCGTGGGCAGACTGCAGCCGTCCCTGTAGAGGCAGCTTGGCCGGGGCACCAGCGGACGTTTCCACTCTTGCTTCTGTACTATCGTTTCTGAATCTGATTTTAACTCACTGCTTGTGTGGTGGGGGAGCCAGGGATTCCCCTTTAGTAACTCCGCACCCTCTTCCTGGCTTGCAGCCAGAAGAGCTACTCCTCCTGGAAGAATTGGAGAGAAATCAAGTGATGGGGAAGATGAGGGCAAAAGGCATGCCTCTAGTCAGCTAAACGTGCAAGAATTCCACAGAGGGAAAAGGAGAAAAAGGGAGGCAGATTGAGATTTCTTTAAGTCTGTTTGGAAGCTTTTGCTCTATAAATCTGCCGCTTAAGCCAGGGTTTTAGGGTAGACAGAGCCAAGGGCAGAGTTTTCAGAGATAGTATTGAAAAATCAAAGCCCAGGGCCCCAAAGTCTTTCTAATTTATAGTTGATCTGGGCCTGGTTTGGAAGATTTTGAATCCCAATCTAATCCCCGTGGGAGATCAATACTACAATCAATCTTATTGTTTCCACAATGACTTTCTTGTCCTGTGCTTAAATCTGAGATAGGCTCTGAGTAGAGACAAGGCAAGCCTTCAGATAAAAGCGTTTGTAGCAGCTGCCTGTTTTTTTTTCATGTGCACCGAAATGTGGATTTTTTTTTCTTTTATGATACTACATGTGGTTTTTCTAAGGTGGGATATTTCTGCTTGTTTCATCAGAAGGGCATTTAGTGGACTGGAAATGTCTTACAGCAGCTATTGAGGTCTGCTGTACCTAAGTTCTTAGAGCAATTAGTCAAAAATATGTTCCACTTCAATTCTTTTTCTACACTTTTAAATGCTTCTTTGGCTTAATACATTTAAAATAGAGCATGGGTTTCTTCAATTCCTAGAAAAGAGTACAAAAGTGTATATCACAGAGCAACCACTTGGCAGATATTTGGGGAGTTGGGAGTGAAGTTCTCTTTCTTGCCTTTCCCTGCTTAGGTGGTAAATTTCAAGTGGGAAATTTACACTGATAATAGACTAATGGGAAATGGCACTTCCAGATGTTTTCTCCCAGTGTGAAGGGTGACTTATACTTGTGAGAGTATTTGTTGGTAATGGGAATAAGTCCCAAAGGCAAGCCACATAGCAGAAGATACGTTCTCATTGAGGCAGCTACACATTACGACGGGGACACTGAATTGATCATCAGTTCATTTACAAGCACATTTCTAAGTGAGGTGCTCTCTGCTAGCAGAAATCAGATTTGAAAGGCAGTAAGATCTCACTCCACTCTTTCAGAATTCATCCAATGAAAGCAGAAATCACCTGTTGTCATATGTAAAATTTGTGTGTATGTGTACATTCTGCCATCTTAACCCTGAAATGATTATAGATCCAGCTAATCATTCCCAGGTAATGCTGATTAGAATACTTTTTTTTTTGTATAGGAATGTAATAAGAACAACTGTTTTAGACACCTCTTCTGGAAATTTAGCATGGAAGCTCTCAACTTTATTTTTAAGGCCTGGAAGATGCTGTGTCTCTGTTACAACTTAAAAGGAAGATCATTTAAGTTAGTTAACACCTAAAACATTCCATTGTGTGAGGATTTTATCAGTGATGTCTGCATATTCTCATCATTCATCTAGAAGTGGTTTGATCAGAACTAAACAGGCTACACGTTATTCAACTGTGTTATTTTAACTTAAAAAGCATGCTTGAGTTTATAAAATCAGAATTTATATCTTTGTGAGTGTAAATGTTACCTGAGAAACAGTACAGAAGTGACCAACTTGATTAAAATCAACTTGTAATAACTTCAGGTCTTAATGCAGTTAGATAATGGAGAAAAGCTATGTAATTTTGCCCCAAATTTCAACTAATCCATTTCTTGTCTCATTATGACTAATATATCATCCTTAATCTGGATGGATATAGCACTTTTTTCAAGACTAATCATTGTTGTATACACCCAGGATTTGCTTTTGATAAACATCCTTGTGCCATGCATGCCACGAAAAAAGTTTTTGGTAAACCATGTGATGAAGGTTGCTGGCTCAAGAACAGAATTTAGTTTCTACAGCATTAATGAGCATTTATTTGAAAAAAGACCATAAAGACCCAATCATAAGAATTACCTGTTGGGTTTTCTTTGTAGGTGTGATCGAATGGTTTGGTGGAATTACTCGACGAGATATCATGATAGCATTCTTTCAACCAATATGAGTATAATGCGACCATATCATAGGGGATCTGAGACAGAATTATCAGTTGTATTTTTCCTATTGAATTTTGTCTAGTCCTTTCTCCAGTGGCTTTTATTTGGGAGAATATCAGCTTTGCTAAAATGTTATTGTTTTCAAGATCATTAAAAAGTGCTTCAGCTACATAGACCTTTGGAAACTGCCATTGAACATAGAAAAGTCAGTTCTGCAAGTGGAAAGAGTGTTTTGTGTATTGCTGTAGTTGGAAACACATTGAAACTGGTTGACTTCACTGGCCCTCCAAAAAGTCTTTATGCTTTTTTGTCAGATGGGAGAGAGAAAGACCAGGTGCTTCTTGTTCTCCTCACTCTGAAGGACACAGTCTTCTTTCTACATGAAATAACTGGATTATTTGCCTCTGTGACTGAAGCTTTCAAATAGAGATTAACCCTCTTTCCACAAATATAATTATTATGAAAATATCCATATAATAGAAAAGTTCAAGAAATAACTATTGCCCTGCATTAGAGACTTTGTGGCACAAATTCCCCCGTGCAAACAACAGATTTGGACACATAGATCCACCAAAACCAATACTTACCTGGTATGGTTCCCTAGTGGCCCCAGGTATTTCATTGTCATTACAGAGGCCACATTAAGTAGGAAAATTACTCTATTTGGAAATGGTTGTTGAGATTGAGGCTTTGGTGTCCAGTGATACTTCCTTGGCACTGACATTTTCCGTTCCACCTGTTTTTTAGTGGTTCCCCTAAATTTCTCTTAATCCCTTTGCAGTGAACTATTTTGCGTTCTTAGACTTGCTCTTTGTGTATTTTCACTGAGACAATAAGAGAATATTTCATCATTCCGAAGGTGTTGGTGTTAAGGGTGGGCAGAGGCCAAATCAGGGTTGTTGATGACAACCATGCTCTCTATTCCTTTATTTGCCATTCCCTTGTTGTATTTTTTTTAAAATGGAATGTTTTTAACCTTTTGTATTTGATATTTTTTTTCTCCTTGATCAGTTGTCTGTTATTTTATTATCTGGAAAATCTTATATTATACTCAGCCTCTTTCATTTTGTGTTAGGGCAGTGACTTCCAGCCTTACTGATTGCCAGCATATCCCCAGGTTTTGTTGTTGTTGTTGTTGTTTTACTGGAGATTTTTTAGCCCAAAGTGTGTTTTAAAATCCTCGAAGCATAACGGTAACTTACTTTTTTGATAAAACTTACCATACTTTATTTAGAACAAAAGGGCAGCCACAAAATAGCAGTGGCTCCTTATAAAATAGACACATTCCAGTGGGCCCCGTCACTTTTCTGCTCATTTCTGTCTGTTCTGTCCATCATACCTAAGTCATATATTTCTGTTCATTTAGTTGGGACAGAACTCACCCAATGTTATCATTGTACTAAATATAAATGTGCCCCTAATGGTTTTGACTTTTGCTTAAGTTTTTGAGTCCTCATGTATGTTAGGTAGTGCCATCTAGTAGCCAGAAATTTGGGAACTGGCTGGGCATGATGGCTAATACCTGTAATCCCAGCACTTTGGGAGGCTTAGGTGGGTGGATCACTTGAGGTCAGGAGTTCCAGACCAGCCTGGCCAACATGGTGAAACCACATCTCTACTAAAATATAAAAAAATAGCCAGGTATGATGGCCCATGCCTGTAATCCGAGCTAATTGGGAGGCTGAGATGGGAGGACTGCTTGAACCTGGGAGGTGGAGGCTGCTGTGAGCCAAGATTGTGCCACTGCACTCCAGCCTGGGCAACAGAGTGAGACCCTGTGTCACAAAAACAAGAAACAAAACAAAACAAAAGACAAGAAACCTGAGAAGCGCAGTAGATTCAATTATATATATCTACTTTTAATTTGCTAGCTCTGTGACCTTAGGAAAGTTACATAACCTCTCTGAACTGCAACTGTTTCATTTACAAAATGGAGATAATGATAGTTTTTCTCTAATTGGTTTGTTGTGAGATAATTCATATAAAGCTGATGGTGCCAGATTACACTCAAAAAAAGCATTCAGCTGTCATTATCATTATGACTTCTTTTGTTAATGTTATAGCCTTTCCTTCTCTAGGGAAAAGGAGGCCAGAGTGGACCTAGGCTGACTGAGAGAATTCAGCTCAGTCTTTTGAATTATTTTGAGGTAGAGGAATGATTGATATAGTATAGATTATTAAATTAGGACTTCACTTTTGGAGAAAAGTTCAGATATCATTGTTGTCTTATTTTTCTTCACTTTCCCACATTTTTGCAGCCATAGCTCCATCCATTTGGTTAAGAACTTAGAAGCTCACAAACTCGGGTCAAAGACAGGTCGAAATCCTCAAATCCCTTAAGAACTTCAGCTTATTCAGGAAGGGATATTTACAGAAAACTAGCAATTGTATAAGTCTCCAAAAAAGCATACATTACTTGAGGATCCATATATTTTTGGCATCCTCAGGGTTGCTGTGATGATTTATAGAAGGTTTGTTTATTTAATTTACTTTATTTCAAATAGGTTTTAATTTTTGTACCCTTAAGAAAAGATTCGTACTCTTCCCTGGCAGATTAAAGAAAATGAGCGTATATTCCCTAACCTTGGCCAGTTACTTTCCTGGGTTTGAGGGTTTCTGTGAACGTCTAACTTACCTCTGTGACCTGTTTCTGCAACCAGGGGTGTTGCAATGGATGCTTTTGTCTTGAGGATGGGACCTTTCAAGAAACAGATTCACTGAGGTGCAGTGGGAAGGTCAGAGAAAGATCTTCGTATCGCCTATTATTATTTGCTCGTCTATTTTTTCTCCTTTCTTAAGGCCACTAACTGATTCTCCTTTGCTAAGGCTGCCTACTTCCACTGAGACCTTGAACCACATGAAATTGTTGTTGTCTGTGTTTCTGGTCAAATAGTGGCAATTTTGTATGATTCAATCTTGTCATTTAATTTTTTGGGAGGTTATTATTCTATTTCATACCTTTTTTATACCCATCTTCTTTACTTCATTTACCTGTCCCTCATACTTGACTTGTAGCTTGTCCCTTCACTGTCATCGTCTGGCCATGTGGGTGTGTACGTGTGTGCGAGAGAGAGAATGTGTGAGAATGTATGTTTCTTTATGCATTGGGATTTAGGGTTTTTCTTGCAATTGTGATTTCTCTGGGCACTTTTGTTAATATAGCTAGTCAGCGAGTGCTCTAGATAATTTTCCTTGCCTCCCCCTCTTTGAAAGAAAAGAGGGTGTTCTTAGATGTATTCTTATCAGATAAGCCAGTAGCTCAGGTGCTGGTCTGGCTTTGGTGTCATTGGGGTCTGAGGTTGCTGACTTTTACCTTCTCTGCTGAAAAATTACCTTCAGCAGAAACGTCTGAATTGCAAGGAGAAGGAGAAAAAAACAGGCCAAACACAGTCCTTGGTACTCCTTGGGAGCCACTGAGAAGAGTCCAGGTTCAAATGGTCAGAAGGTTATTTTAATGATTGTGTCTGGCCTAAAGTACCATTAGCTTCCAGTGGAGTTTAGAATGTGGATGGATCCTGAAAGGTATTCCCCAGAGGTTTGGATTAATAGGCACAAGGGAACCCTAAAGGACTCTATTGGCCTGATACTCCCCATATCCACGTAGAAGAGCTTTAGAAGAACCTTCTGTTCTGAGACCCTGGCTGGGCCCACCCAGAGCTGGCCCATTCAACTCTTACTCCTTTGCCACCACTAATGGTTCTTCTACTAGTTTTTATATTATTTAACAAAAAGGCACTTTAAAAATGCACTCCTGGCAATCTATACTGGAATATGAAAAACATGCTGCAAAACCTTGACACTCCAAGTGTGGTCTTACAGTTCCCAGAATCCCCTCCTTGAGGAGCTGCTAGAAATGCTGAATCTCAAGCATCTCCCCAGACCTACTGAATCAGAGCCTGCATCTGAAGCTTTACGGTGTACAAGCTGTTTTATGTGAAGGCTGAAGTTTGAAAAGCACTGCATTAAAGCGTTAGTTTGGTATAAACTGCCCTGACTGAACTTGGTGTGTCCACTTAGCTTGCATGATGACTGTTGCTTTGATGATGAAGGCTTACACGGGTAGATCCTTTGAGTGAGTGATCTGACATGATTCTCCTTTGCTAAGGCATCTAGATTCAGTGCACAACTTACAGCTGTTTGTCTTTAGGGGAAATACAACTGTAAAATTAATAAAAACATAGTCTCTTCTTATGATAACATGGAACGATGGCAAAATAGATTTTGTTAGCACTTGGGTAGGAATTCTGAATGAAGCAGGCAAATTCTGTTGGCAGTGAAATGATAGGATGTGGTAAAGTTAGAATAAAATAAACTTAAATGTCTCAAACTCTCATGGTATATACTACCAGTTTAATAATAATGTTGTACCTTTGATGATTTGCAGACTACAAGCATTCAAGGTGCTGTGTTATATATTACTTGCTTGGAGAATAATACTTCTTAAAAATTGAAATTCAGAAATTTTAAATCAGACAAAGCTTTTGTGCATGGCCCACTTAAATGGCTATTTTGAAATAATGATAGTGGATATAGAAGGATTATTCTGTAATAGGATGAGACTGTTCCTTTTGTCATGGAGATCATAATCATATTTTTGTAAATTTTTATTATTTTTTTGGTTTTGTGTCCATCCTGCACACTATTACTGGGTAGGTACATGGTTTTTTAACATGGTTTATCTTTCAAAACTATAAAGGCATTGCAAACAGAAGACAGGTCATTTATTTTTCTTCCAAAAGCATCTAAAATGAGATTTTGATATTTGAGGTCATAAAGAGGTGAGAGAACAGACAACAGTTGGGAAAGCTATTTCTCTTGAAATTGTTTGGCCTTAATTACTACAGTGTCCTAGTACCACCCATACGTTTCCAAAGAAGTAGATCCCTGTAAATGCCTTTGTCTCTGGACTTTTGAGTAAAATAGTAGGGTGTGCTTTGCAAAATGTCATCGTTGATGTTGAGTTTCAGAGTCTTTAATTAGGAAGCTGAAATCTGTATATCGAGATTTGTAAATCATCTAAATTGCAGAGTAATGTTTTAGAATACTGCTTAAGGGATTGGCATTAAAGCCTTTTTTAAAAAAGAAATGCAATAATTTCCTCAAATCCTCACTCATTAGACCTCTACTAACTATAGTGCTGACTTTTTTTTTTTTTTACCCTAAAGTCTGGAATTCCAAAGAAATGCTTCACCATTTCCCCCATTATTATAGCCACCTGGAAGCAGTATTCATGTATTAGATCAAAAACACAACAAAGAATTATGAAAGGTTGTTTCCTGGTATGCAATGCATGATGACATGAACTTACAGAACAGAGAGAAGGGAGGCTCCATGTTTATTTAAAGAGGAAATTTTTATTTTCTGGTTACCTACTTTTACATGGGTTACATCAAATCCCACGATGAGGTTTAAAAATTCTCATAGATAATCAAACGTCATTACTTGGCTTACTGAAATTCAGACTTTTCTTTTTTCTTCCCTGTTTTTCTCTATCAAATTAGAATCTTTGGAAGAACTACCAGAAACGAGTGGGAAAACAACCCGGAGATTCTTCTTTAATTTAAGTTCTATCCCCACGGAGGAGTTTATCACCTCAGCAGAGCTTCAGGTTTTCCGAGAACAGATGCAAGATGCTTTAGGAAACAATAGCAGTTTCCATCACCGAATTAATATTTATGAAATCATAAAACCTGCAACAGCCAACTCGAAATTCCCCGTGACCAGACTTTTGGACACCAGGTTGGTGAATCAGAATGCAAGCAGGTGGGAAAGTTTTGATGTCACCCCCGCTGTGATGCGGTGGACTGCACAGGGACACGCCAACCATGGATTCGTGGTGGAAGTGGCCCACTTGGAGGAGAAACAAGGTGTCTCCAAGAGACATGTTAGGATAAGCAGGTCTTTGCACCAAGATGAACACAGCTGGTCACAGATAAGGCCATTGCTAGTAACTTTTGGCCATGATGGAAAAGGGCATCCTCTCCACAAAAGAGAAAAACGTCAAGCCAAACACAAACAGCGGAAACGCCTTAAGTCCAGCTGTAAGAGACACCCTTTGTACGTGGACTTCAGTGACGTGGGGTGGAATGACTGGATTGTGGCTCCCCCGGGGTATCACGCCTTTTACTGCCACGGAGAATGCCCTTTTCCTCTGGCTGATCATCTGAACTCCACTAATCATGCCATTGTTCAGACGTTGGTCAACTCTGTTAACTCTAAGATTCCTAAGGCATGCTGTGTCCCGACAGAACTCAGTGCTATCTCGATGCTGTACCTTGACGAGAATGAAAAGGTTGTATTAAAGAACTATCAGGACATGGTTGTGGAGGGTTGTGGGTGTCGCTAGTACAGCAAAATTAAATACATAAATATATATATATATATATATTTTAGAAAAAAGAAAAAAACAAACAAACAAAAAAACCCCACCCCAGTTGACACTTTAATATTTCCCAATGAAGACTTTATTTATGGAATGGAATGGAAAAAAAAACAGCTATTTTGAAAATATATTTATATCTACGAAAAGAAGTTGGGAAAACAAATATTTTAATCAGAGAATTATTCCTTAAAGATTTAAAATGTATTTAGTTGTACATTTTATATGGGTTCAACCCCAGCACATGAAGTATAATGGTCAGATTTATTTTGTATTTATTTACTATTATAACCACTTTTTAGGAAAAAAATAGCTAATTTGTATTTATATGTAATCAAAAGAAGTATCGGGTTTGTACATAATTTTCCAAAAATTGTAGTTGTTTTCAGTTGTGTGTATTTAAGATGAAAAGTCTACATGGAAGGTTACTCTGGCAAAGTGCTTAGCACGTTTGCTTTTTTGCAGTGCTACTGTTGAGTTCACAAGTTCAAGTCCAGAAAAAAAAAGTGGATAATCCACTCTGCTGACTTTCAAGATTATTATATTATTCAATTCTCAGGAATGTTGCAGAGTGATTGTCCAATCCATGAGAATTTACATCCTTATTAGGTGGAATATTTGGATAAGAACCAGACATTGCTGATCTATTATAGAAACTCTCCTCCTGCCCCTTAATTTACAGAAAGAATAAAGCAGGATCCATAGAAATAATTAGGAAAACGATGAACCTGCAGGAAAGTGAATGATGGTTTGTTGTTCTTCTTTCCTAAATTAGTGATCCCTTCAAAGGGGCTGATCTGGCCAAAGTATTCAATAAAACGTAAGATTTCTTCATTATTGATATTGTGGTCATATATATTTAAAATTGATATCTCGTGGCCCTCATCAAGGGTTGGAAATTTATTTGTGTTTTACCTTTACCTCATCTGAGAGCTCTTTATTCTCCAAAGAACCCAGTTTTCTAACTTTTTGCCCAACACGCAGCAAAATTATGCACATCGTGTTTTCTGCCCACCCTCTGTTCTCTGACCTATCAGCTTGCTTTTCTTTCCAAGGTTGTGTGTTTGAACACATTTCTCCAAATGTTAAACCTATTTCAGATAATAAATATCAAATCTCTGGCATTTCATTCTATAAAGTCCAACCTGTAAGAGAAAATGGTGCATTTGTATAGCGCTTACAATGATGACCTTGTGTTTGCATTTTTGTTTCTGAAGTTATATATTTTAGAGGGGGTGGGGGAAAGGTAATGAATGGCTGGAAAATTGCAGGCAAGTTATTTGATAAGTCATATTTGCACTAAAGGTGTTACCAGTGATTTAGTATTTTTCAAATGAACTTCTTTGGGGCAGAAAGATTTAAGGGAAAACTAAAGCCTACAAAACAAGCAAAACCTGGATAACCCGAGATAAAGTTTCAGAGATAATAGCCCATGCAACAGAGGCAACGGTGCCAGAAAATTAGAAAGGGAAAGTGTCGGAGATCAGCTTCTATAAGAACATCTGCCAGTTGGACTGACGCCCAAACAGAATGAAGTCAAATTAGGCTGCTCAGATTGAACACTTACCAGAGTGTCAGGGCTTCTGTACCCTGGGTTAGAATCAGACCAAGGAAGGGTTCAGCAGATGTTCATAAGAGCAGGGCACCCACAACTACCCACTATTTTACTGGCAGTATTTTAGGTCAGTTTCCAGGACTTTGCATCCCCTCTGATCCTGCCATGCATGATTGGTGAAACCTACCTCTAATCTCCTTGGAATTGGCTAAAAAACAGTGTGTTTATAATGGAACAGACTGTTATAATCAAATTCTTCCTAGGAATTAACTTTTGATGACTATGAGCTTAGTTACAGTTCGGAGGTTATGAGGTTATGTAAACCTTATCTTTAAATGTGCATGACAGTTATCTTTTACTAATGCTGGTTAACTTTTAAAATCTTGCAGCTCCTTTTTATCTCTAGTTCTATTGTTCTTGATTAGGTGAGAACCATTAGATCATACCCAACTGAGGGGATTGGGGTCTTGTTTGTTCTCCAGCTGTTCTTCACCCTCTATTGCCATGGACATGAAGGACAGACTGCACGGTCTTAACATGTTAAAACGAATGACCCATGTTTTCTCATATTCACATTCTCTAGATGAGAGCATGAGAGTATAGCACAAGAATTTCATCCTTTGGCAGTTCCATCCACCCTTTTGATTTCTCTGCTTCATTGGTTCTAATATTCTTGGTTAAAACTGTTTTCAATGGTGTCGACTAAAATGTGTTATCTTGCATATGCGTATTTAATATATAAAACATAAAATACATAAATATACATCTAAAGATGTATGTAATATGTAGTACATATGTATAGATGCTGGCATTTTCAGTTTAGTTTCAGAGATTTTATAATCAGACACTCTGACCCTCTTGGAAGCTCACATGAGAAACAATATTTTTACAAACATCCTACATTGTTACAGACATTTTAGCTCACAGTCTTCATTCCGAGGAATAAAGAGTCAAAATGAACATAACACTGAATGTCTTTAATTGCACTCACTATTCTATAGGATCCTTGGAATCATTTCAGAGTTGGCTTTAAAAAGTCCACACATAGTCATTTCTGAATTTTCAGGGGCCCGCCTTTCAAAATCGGTTAAACTGATCATCTGTTTTTGTGCTTGTCTCGACTGCATGTGCCCCTCTGGCATGGTTTTAACCTGTATGGCACGTCCGGGTTACCATGTTCATTATTTGCCTTCAAAAATTAGGAAAAGAGAGTGTGGGCAGCTTACAGATCTATCTGTGCTTCCATCTTTTCATAATTTCTACTTAAATCGCAGCTTTAAATTGTACCTTAAGAGGTCAAGAATGGAGAGATGATCTGTAAACCTGATCTATATAACAAGCTGTATAATCACTACATTACCTAAGCAATCCATATTTTTTCCCTCAATTTATTACTGGAGAGGGAAAATCATGTGCACAATTCAAAGGGCTTTCAAAAATAGCATATTTCTATGCTACTGGCATATTAATGTTAAGATTCACCGAATGTTTACGTGCCACAGCCTCCTTATCTGTTCTAAGGCAAAAGGAACATAGCCTTGCAGTCAAGAGCAATTAAAGCCTATAGTAATTGTGGCATAGATTCATAATCCAAGAAAAGTTAAGAATGTCCTGGCGCCATTTCTCTTCTGTTTTATATTTATTTATTTATTTATTTATTTATTTTTGTGCAGGGAACGGGTAGGGTGAAATGGGGGATAAGATGCAGGTCTGCTCAGCTTGGGTAAATTGCTTTTCCTCTTTCCTCCACCCTGCTGACATAAATTACAGCCTTTTGGTATTCTCCAGGGCAGAATTTTCTGACCATTTCCCTGGCTTGCAAACTTCAAAGTAAACTTCTACCTAACTTAGGGGACCAATGCTCTAAATAAAACTTTAATTTTAATGTGCATCCGAATTACCAGGAATTCTGTAAGGAGAATAAAACTTTAACGTGTATACAGACCCCCGGGAATCATGTTCTATTAGAGATTCTGTTTCAGTGAGTCTGGGTGGGGCCTGAGATCCTGCATTTCTAACAAGCTCCGAGGTGAAGCCCTTACAGGCCAAAGGACCACAGATTGAGTACCAAGGCTATAATGAATAGCTTCGCCGTCACTGCAGAAGTTGGACCAAGTTTAGGCCCCTCTCTAAGCAGCAGTACTTAAAGGAAAAAAAAAAAAAAACAGAAACCAAACCCGTATACAGGATGGCATCTTAATACTTTTCACCGTATCTGAAATGATGCCCTACATTTTTTTTTTTTTCAAAGGCATTTTCCCCCCACAAGATGACTGGCAATTTTGTGTTCTAGCCACCCTCAGACATGAAAACACTTGGTTGCTTATCTTGTAAAATCTGCTCTGCTTGCTTGCTTGGGCATGTATGTAGTCAGTTTAGTCAAATACGTGTCAGTACATCTATGTGGATGGGGAGCAGGTGCAAGCCCTTAAAAACGTACTTTAAAAAACTTTAACACTTAAGTCAGTCCACTGAGCTGATCCTGTGTGATCTTAGTGCCAAGCGTCTGAGTTTAAAGTTTTCCCTTTGAAGGCAGCAAATAGATGTCATACATTTGAAGCATTTGTTTATACTAAATATGATGCTTGATTTTTTTTTAAGTTCTAAGACAGTTCACTGTTCAACACCATTGAGCCTGCAGGGTGGTATAAAGCTTCCAAAGCTGGTATTTGAGGTTTGATTTAATGGATATTGGAATTTTCAATGCTGCAGTTGGCTTCAAATAAGGTGTTTAACATGGGCTCAGGCTAGAAAAAACAGCGGGAATTGATTTCCTTCTGAGAAAGGGAGTCAGCAAAGAAATAACTTTCTGCCTTTGCTTGGTGACAGCACCTCTTTGTAAAGTAAAATGTCCTGTGAGGCTCTTCTGTGTAGCAGCCTTATTTTATTTTAAGAAGCACTTGGAAGATTTCTCACAAGTAATTCAGATTTGAATATTTGTTGAAGACATGCTGGGATGAATGGATTCCTAATCTCAAATACACCCCTTGTTGTGTGTACATACGTACATATATGCATATATGTGTGTGTATGTGTCTGTGAATGTATATGTACATATGTAATGATTTGTTCCTATCTGGAGTCCAAATGCCAAGCATAGGGCACCTTCTTCTGTTTTACTGAGTTTCTCATTTTGCGTAGGTCTCTGAATTTCGCATTGAGTCCCTCTGAGGTGCTTAAGCAGTACTAAGCAAGACACTGACTTTAACACCACTTAAAAGCTTGCGTTTGCCCCATGTCCTGGGCCCCACTCCAAGGCATTGCCAGAAGTACATTATTGTTGCAGTCCATTCTGATGAGGAGGTCTCTAAGCAAACCACCGATCTGCTTAAAGCCTCCCTCATAAGGAGCAGGATCTCATCTGGACTGCATTTACACTGGAACCGCTTGGCCACAACACTATGAGAGAATAATTATTGAACTATTTTACTGTACAACTATTTCCAAATTGTTGATTTTTTATTGATTTCAGGAGGCAAGCTAATTGCCCCATGGCAACTTGATGTTAACATTTAATGAAGATCAGGAAACACAGTTTATGAAAAGCTTTTGTATAGTAACTGCAAAGTTTCAAGAACTGTTTTATACTTCCTGACAGTGCTGGGCCTAGCTTAATGGTTTGTTTTTATTGCTTAAGAGTGTAAACCTTGCTTTAGCCCGGTGTGTGGAAACTATACCCTCATCCTGCATTACACATTTTCTCATTGCTTTTTACTCACTCCTGACTTCCTTTCCTGATATCTACAATTGAGACTTTTTCTGTTTTAATTGTCTCAAAATGAGTTGCTATCTTTGCATGTTGAGAATCTAACACACACACACACACACACACACACGTGCACGCATACATACTCATGAAGTTAAGTGTCTGTATTGTTTCACTTTGTTTTGGGTGGAGTCTCTTTTCGGCACTTGGTTGCTAGACGACCAAGCAGACAAAAGTTAAAGATTGAAAAGGCATTTTTAAAGATGCCAAATCTTGGCGGCTGAATTATTTTATCTGTGTCTTTCTATGGAGGGCTTAGTATTCCTACCAGGTTACCATTGCTTTTGTCGGCTAGATGGCTGGTAGAAGATTTTTTTGAAGTCTAGCTCTTAAGGCATTATCTGTTTGAGAACTTTGTTAAGTGTTGTTCCCATTTGAGGGAGCACGCTTCCCACCTGGATTGACAAAAAAAAAAAAAAAAAAAAAAAGGCCAGCCAGTTTCCAAGGGTGTGTTTTAAATCACTAATAAAGTGGAGCTCCAGCTCCCAGCTGCTTCAATTGTTTCAAGGCAAGGAGGAAGAGAAAAGGTTGCTTTTGGAGGCACCATTCAGATATACAGGCTTTAGTGTGTGGAGGCTTTAGTGTGTGGAGAATACTGTTTCCAGGAAGCTACCGTTGCTTTTTTGGTAGATAGTACTGGAAAAGTTTTTTTTTTTTTAATTCTTTAAAGCCTAATTTTAAATCAAAGTCATTTGTTCATTTCGGTAAGATGTTTCAGGAGCATGTTATAAATACACAATCTTTATAGATATGCCAAGTTAGACATGTGTTCACAAGTTCATCTTGCATGTGTACACAGTTTGTAGCTGACATGCGTTCCTCACTGAGGGCTTCCATTCTTTCTCATTCATTCTGTGAGATGCTGAATCTTTGGCTCTCCGCTTTGTGGGGTCTGCTGTGCTGGAATTAAGTCACATCTATGGCAAACCTCAGCTACTTTCCTGGTTCATTTCCAGGCAGGGTTTCCTGGCATGGGGATCAATTAGGGAGCCCTGAGGTGTGCTCATCACAGACTCTCTTGAAAATTAGGATCTTCTGAAACCTGTCTGGCCTATATATGTAAATTTGACAAAATATTCCTCTGGAAGGAAATCTTACTAACTGACTTAGAAATTGTTCAATCACTCGGTTTAACTGGTAAACCTACAGTCCTCCAGGACATATCAGTATTGTCAATATTATAATATTACAAACCATGAAAATAATTATGCTTAAACACTGAGGCCCTGAAGTGAACCAGACTACAAACTTAATAATAGTCAATCGATAAGCTAAATAGAAATAGGAAAACAGATTCAGGAGAATATTTCAATACTTCCTAATCTCATAGGATGTGGAGCGTGTTTGCTGCCACAAGATAGCTCAGCTGAATACTAGAAAATGGGGAGAAATGGAGAAGTTAGGGGTGGTTTTTGGTTAAAAATATGCATATACATATATACAAATATATATACATACACATACAAACACATACAGACACGTATGTATATATAAAAGTGAGGTCAATGCTGCTTTCAATAGCAGAACAGTGATTGTTTCTTTTTTGAGACGGAGTCTCGCTCTGTCCTCCAGGCTGGAGTGCAGTGGCACAATCTCAGCTCACTGCAAGCTCCGCCTCCTGGGTTCATGCCATTCTCCTGCCTCAGCCTCCCAAGTAGCTGTAGCTGGGACTACAGGCGCCCGCCACCACGCCTGGCTAATTTTTTATATTTTTAGTAGAGACGGGGTTTCACCGTGTTAGCCAGGATGGTCTCGATCTCCTGACCTTGTGATCTGCCCACCTCGGCCTCCCAAAGTGCTAGGATTACAGGCATGAGCCACAGCACCCAGCCCAGAACAGTGATTTTTAATACAATTAAACAACACAATCATCCCTTTCTTGGTGATGGTATGAAGCATTTTACCTGCATAGAGCAGGGCCCAGAAGCTCCTTTTGAAGGCTTCCTCTTTATTGAACTTTGGAGAAAGAACACTTCTCAGCTGAAAGAGAACTGAAGACTAAGAATTCTAGAATCCTCTCACCAACAGGTGCCCAAAGGAAAATCTTTCTGCCTGACACACAAGTATCAGATTTTGTATGAATATTATGTTTTGTGGAAATTTATCTTTGGGAGGTTGTCATATTAGACATCTACATGTAAGCTCCAACTCTTCTCTCTCTTTCGTGAGTACCCTGATGCCTGAGAAGCCCTTTTGATGGCACAGGCAGGTGGAGGCCAGGTTGTTGTAAGGACACTGCTTTTGTGCCTTTGTTCAGCCTCACCCTTGGTGTGCTTTCGAGTGCACTAAGGTACTATTGAGGATTTGGTACAAGGAGCAGAGAGAGGGCTGCTTGAAATTCCTAAAAGACAATCAGGTGCATTCTTGTACATGGCAGGCAATGTTGCAAAGCACTCTCATTCCCAGAACCAAGAGGGAAAGGACACTGAAACTGTGACACTGCCATGAATCATGGGAAGATTAGTTAAGGAACTTTTATGAGGGAGGGGACAAGTTTGTGTTTTATGTACTATTTCTGGAAAATTCAAGGAGTGGCAATGTTTCAGTCCCCGTGATGTGAAAATAAGAACCTTCGTCCAATGGCAGCTGGTGCTGAAATGCAACTTTCTGGAAGTCTCCTGTTTAATGGGTCTGTGAGGTTTTGACCTCTGGGTCCCAACGGATCCCAGGACCCACAGTGCTGTTCTGTGATAAGGTAAGTTACCTGGTGGTCCTTTTTTCGCAGGAGTAGAAATTGGTATCATTAATCTTGTCCCCATCACTTACGTAATCCTCAAACAGTGTGACTAGACTTATCCTATACTTTTCATTTTACATTCAGTTCCCTTTCATTTTTTTTTTTTTTTTTTTTTTTTGAGACGGAGTCCCGCTCTATTGCCCAGGCTGGAGTGCAGTGGCGCGATCTCGGCTCACTGCAAACTCCACCTCCTGGCTTCACGCCGTTCTCCTGCCTCAGCCTCCCAAGTAGCTGTAGCTGGGACTACAGGCATGTGCCACCGCACCCGGCTAATTTTTTTTGTATTTTTAGTAGAGACGGGGTTTCACCGTGTTAGCCAGGATGGTCTCGATCTCCTGACCTCGTGATCCGCCCGCCTCGGCCTCCCACAGTGCTGGGATTACAGGCGTGAGCCACCGCGCCCGGCCCAGTTCCCTTTCTGTTTCTCTCTCCTTTTCTCCGGGTGTCAGGAACTTTTGTGGAGATAAGGAAATGTGCTAGGGGAAGAGGAGCTGAAAAAGTCAACCTTATTTGCTACAAAGTGAGAGCAATGTGGTCCTGTGTCATCGCAAACCTGAGCGTTTGTTAAACCTGACTGAAGCTGTGCCTAAGATCTCCTGTGAGCGGCCAGTTTGGACACAGAACAGGATCCTATTGTGTTTGTCCTTTTCCATGGTAATGCGACTCGGCTTGGGAGGAAGAGTCATTTCACAGGCTTCCCTCGTGGAAAATGCTGGTGGTGAGGGAGAAATGGCTCTCCTCCCATCCCTGGAACACCAGTTCTGGGATGCTGAGAAGGGCTGCTCCAGCTGGGGGTGGGGTAGTGGGGGCGGGGAGGGAGCTGGAAATCCACTGGCTTCAGCGGGGTGTAAGCACGGACCAAAGCGCCTCTCCTCTGCAGCCAGAAACAGTGATTCATTTGATTTTAATTTTTAACATTAGCATTTTTCTCATGACTCACTGATAATTTAATATGGAATTTAAAAGGTTGAAACAGTTATTTACTTTTTAGGAAATTAAAACATTCCCTAGGTGGATATATATTTTCCCTCTGAAACAGAAGATGTACTCGTGGTTGATTAAAAAAAAAAGAAAGAAAGAAAGGGAGGAGTGGGCATTTCTCTCACCCTTCCCTTCCCAGCTCCCAACTGCACCCGTACACCAGTTGATCTCGCTAATGTTGACCGACTATCAGCCAGTCTGTTTCTTCTTATTCTTTCTCTTATATTGAATTGCTCAGAAAACTGGGTGAAAATGTCACCCCAGCAAATACTTCCCTACTATCATTTACCTCCTTGGTCTTCGTTGTAGCAGTATTAAGTGAGGGCAGTCTTTCTCATAGGTATTTTATGAATCTTGTGAGCTAAGATCCTGCCCAAGATCATAGATCTTTCTGAATAGTTTTACTGAGGGTATTGTAGGACTTCTGCTGAATGGATGAGGAAAAACCTGGGCTGGCACAAGGATCTTGTCATAACTTAAAAATACACACATACAGTTATTCTCGCTAACTTTCTGATATTAAATGCAGTTGTAACTGGGAAATTTGCTATATAATAATGGGTTGTAATAAAAAATGTGATTCATCCAACAGCTCCCACTTCATAATTTTTTGCATATCTGCAGAACAACACCAATGAACTGATGCTCAGAAACTTACTTTAATGAATAGGTAATAATTATTCTAAATCGGGATAGCAAGGATATTTTTGTGCCATTGCACAATGCCAAGAACATTCTCAGGAGTCTAGGCATTTCCACTGGAAACTTGCATATTCATTCTGATGACTATAATAAAGAGGATATGGTAGATCTCTGCACAGAGGATCCTTTCCCCATCATCCTTCCTGTCTTCCAGTTCTGTTCTCCAGGAGAATGTATTAGGAAGGGAAAAAGCAAACGGAAAGTAGGGTGCTCCAGTTCTCAGTATTTGCCTGCATGCTCAAGTTAGTTGTGAGATGTGGCTCTCAGCATTTTATACTAAAATGAAGTATCATATTTTATGCATGATATCCTTAGAACAGAACTGTGCAAAACAGTAGCCACTAGCCACTTGAGGCAATTAAACACTTGAAATGTGACTAGTCCAAATTGAGATGTGCTGTAATTGTTGAATACGCACCTGATTTCAGAGTTAGTATGAAAAAAAAAAGATGGAAGATGACACATTAAGAATTGCTACATTGATTTCACAATGAAAGGGTAATATTTTGGATATAGTAGGTTAAATAAAATGTATTTTTAAAATTTATTTTATCATTTCCTTTTATTTTTTAATGTAGCTACTAGAAAATTTTAAATTACACGTATGGCTAGTATTATGTTTCTGTTGGACAGTGGTTAGTTAGAGCAATAAATTAGAGTGGACTCGCATCACTTGCGTTCATTTCCAGACTGATGGAGTTTCTCAGGTGACAGTGAAAATGATGAAGGTAGAGCCAACACTTACATAGAAATTCGCGAATAGCTATAGGACCCCGACAAAGGTTAATGATGTTCATCTACTGTGTCTTAGCAGAGAAAAAGCTGGGAGCCATCGACATGGTAGAAAGAGAACTGGCTTCACGTTTTGGAAGTCTGTGTTGCACTCCAGCTTTGCAGGTTGCTAAATGCATGTCCTTCGGGAGGTGGTTTAACCTATCAGAGCCTCAATCTCTTTGCCTTTAAAACAGATTATTCTAGTGCTTTCTATTTCATAGGATATTTTTTAGAACGGATGAGACAATGCTTGTAAATGTATCATTGTTCAAAGTAAATATGGTTTATAAAGTGAAAATTGAGTAAGTGGACCCTGTATTAGGTGTCTATTACTGCAAAACAAGTTACCTCAAACTGTGTGGTTTAAAACAAGCTTTTATCAACTCACGTATTTTCGAAGGGTTAGGAATTCAGGAGTATCTTAGCTGGGTGGCACTACTACCTCAGAATCTCTCAGGACATGGCAGCCAAGGTGTCAACCAGAGCTAAAGTCATTTGAAGACTTGAGCTAGGCCTGGAAGATTTGCTCCTAAGATGGTTCATTCAACATGGTTGTTGCCAAGAGGCCCCTGTTCCGTCCCCCATGGGCCTCTCTATATGGATGCTTGAGTGTCCTCATGACACGGTGGCTAATCTCCCTGCAGTATTAAACAATAAGAGAGAATAAAGAGGAAGCCACAAAGCCTGTTTGCCTCAGTCTCAGAAGTCAAACACTGTCACTTTGACCTTATTCTATTAGGAGCCACTAAATCCAGTCAAGTCTCAAGGGAAGTGGGAAGGGGTATTGACTGAACCCCACCTTTTGAAGAGACTGTCAAAAAATTTGTGACATATATTTCACCTCCACAGACCTTTACCATCTAAAAGTCGATGACACAATTTGGATTATTCTCATCATATCTAACTAAATCAGCATCGAGGAACCAGGGGAAAAAAGCACTTGGGGCACATAGCACCCAATTCAAGAATTATCCTCAAACCCAGCTACTGAAAGGGGCTGCTGTAACCTTAACACCAGTTTTACCTCACGGCTGTTGAAGTGACCCACTATGACTCTAAGAGTAATTTTACCTAAAGCCATCACTCACTAATCAGAGCTTGCCAGCTCCCAGAAACTTGCTAATATTAATGAGCATTTTTTTTCAACACAATACAGAACGTTTCTCTTTTTAATAAAACTCCCAACCTTCTCTTTGTTCTTTGGACACAACAGAGACCACCATGGTCTATGTGTATGCCCCAAATTGCAATTCTATGATTCCCAAATAAAATATTGAGTTTAGAGATTTGTCTCTATATTTTATTTGATGTTGACAACCACATTTGAAAACAGGAAAAAAAAACTGTTTCTATAAGGGATTGAGCTCATGGCCTAGTTGTCTTCAGAGTAGAACAAACTTTTGGTTCTGTTGGAGTCTCTGAATAACAAAATCTCCAATTGAACTTCACATTCATTAGAACTAACAATTTGAATACTTTGCCCATCATTAACCATAATTCATTTTTTGAGATACAGCAGAATAGCCTCCTGGAGTTCTAACTCCTCTCTCTTCCCAAGCAAAGGAGCTCCTGCAGAATCCATGGATTCAGTAATAAGCATGAGAAGAAAGACGTAATTGTGCCGCAGAAGTCAGGAGGCCATAGGAGCAGGTTGGGAATGACTGTGGTTCTTGAGCCTTTCGCCTACCACTGCCCCTTCTTCATACCCTTGAGCAGCCTTTCTTTTTTTAATCAATGGAGATTTTAAGAAGAGGAGACTGCTTTCCTAGATTTCAGAATACATGTGGAAGCATTTTATATTTCCCTGCTCTACTGTCTTAGTGTATAGGGAATTTTACTGGTATCTGGATTAAATTAAGTCCTTGGTCTTCCTTATCCCCTCTTTGTCCTAAAGCTGTCTCCCTAGCTAGAGAACATTTATTTTGGGAAAGCCTTTATGATATTAAAACTCATCCTATAGTACCTGTCTTATTTGCAGATGGACAAAACATTTCCCTTGGCCCTTTGTGGAAGGTTGACTATTGGATGTCTGTTTCTTTCCTAGAAATTGTGGTTTTTTTCTCCTTTTTTGAGTTTTGATACTTCCCAGAGGAAAAGAAACTCATAATATAATAACTACCACTCAGAATTCTCCCTATTCTAGAAAAATACAAAGTAAGATGGACCTTTCTCCCTATATTTCAGGGACATTTAAATGAATAACACCAACAACTTGATAGAAACTTCTTTCACTTGAGAGGAAACACAAGAAAAATATAAATCAGCAGAATACTGATATGCATGTTAAAATTTTGGAGTCAAAAAGAAAAATAATTGTAGGCTGGGTTTATATTTTTGAAATATTTAGGTTCAAGATTTACCATGTCAGCAGGTGTGGTGCCAATCTAAACTACCTTTTGAAGTGAGCTTAAATACCAACTAATTAATTGCAAAACTAATATTCTTGAGAATCTACAAAAAAAAAAAACCAGTCTTTACCAATAAATAAGTAAACATACTGATCAGTGAATAATTACTAAACACAATATGCTGTAAAGGAATCAGGGCACTGAGCTAGAAAATACCAGGTACCTATTTAGGATGATCCCTCCGAGGAAGTCAGCAAGCTGGAAGTTCATGGAAGAGAAAGAGACCTGCTAAGCCAAGTGTTTGGATATGCGAAGGTAGGCAGAAGGGAGCATTCCAAGCCTCTGTGTGCCCCCAAAATGTTATGGAGTGAAATAGTTTGATGTCAGTGAGGAAGAGGGAGAAGGCCATGGTAGGAGGAGCATCTTGATCATGAAGAGAGGAATAAAATAAGACCAGAAGGTAAACAGAGCTCATATCATATCACTCTGCTATTCTAAATCTGCTGGAAAGTTATTTAAGGCATATGAAACAAGGGTGAAATGAGATGTAATGAATTTTTTTAAAAGGTACCATGACTGCTCGTGGAGAATAGATTGAATAGGAAAGGAGAAATGGAGAATGATTAGGAAGCTGCAGTAGGAATAATTTTGAGCTGGCCCTCAAGATTTCTGCTCTCTGATGTATGCACTCTGCAGAACCCTTGCCTTTGAGAGCAGCTGACCTGTAAATACGATGGGAGGCAATCAGTTGACTCTGAGTTAATCAGAAGGAGATTATCCTGTGTAGCCTCACCTCACCAGGTGAGATATTTAAAAGAAAGTGAACAGGCAGAGAGAGTACTCCTACTGGCCTGGGAGAAAGCAAAGAGCCACACGGTGAACTACCCATGTGGGCCATGTGGCAAGGAACCGTGAGTAGCCTCTGGGAACTGAGACTGGTCCCTAGCAAGGAGCTACCAAAGGAAGCAGGGCCCTCAGCCACAAGGAAATAAATGTTAACAAGGAAGAGGACCTTGGTCCTCAGATAAAGCTGAGAGCCCTGGTCAACACCTTCATTTCAGCCTGTGAGACCCTGAGCAGAAGTACCAGCTGCCACACCTAGACTTCTGTCCATGGAAACTGTGAGATAACAAATTTATGTTATTTTGGCGAGGTGCAGTGGGTCATGACTATAATCCCAGCACTTTGGGAGGCCGAGGTGGGTGGATCACTTGAGGTCAGGAGCTCGAGACCAGCCTGGCCAACATGGCAAAAATGCGTCTCCACTAAAAATACAAAAAAAAATTAGCTGGGCGTGGTGATGCACACCTATAGTCCCAGCTACTCGGGAGACTGATGCAGAAGAATTGCTTGAACCTGGGAGGCAGAGGTTGCAGCGAGCCAAGATTGCTCCACTGCACTCCAGCTTGGGTGACAGAGTGAAACTCCATCTCAAAAAAAAAAAAAAAATTATGTTATTATATTTTAAGTCACTACACTTGTGGTAAATTGTTACTTAAGAAATAACTAATGCATAAGCTATTTGCGGCATTCCAGCTTCAAAAAGATGGTGCTTGTATTAGATTTGTGGTAAGGAAGATGGAGAGAAATGAGTGGATTTGAGATCTTCTTCAGAGGTATATTTGACATTACTGGCTGATGGACTAGACATGTCAAGGAAAGAAAAGGAAGAACTAAACGTAATTTTTAAGATTTTTTAAATTTGAGCTACTTAGTGACTAGTGATCACAATGAATGTTATCACAGTTTCAGCTATCATAATTTCAGGAGGGGAAGCATGGAGGAAGAACGTGATGCTAGGGAAACATCATGAGTTCAGCTTGGACATGTTGAACTTGAGATGTTTGTGAAATATGCAAACGGTATTGTCAAGTAAGCAGTGGGTATGTGAGATGAACTCAGAGGAGACTCTTAGGTTGGAAATGGAAATTTGGAAGTTATCAGCATATCAGTACCAAAGCCATGGAAATGGAATAGGAAAGAAAAAGGAAAAGGGGCTTCGACCAAACACTGAGGAATTTTGACATTTAGAGGTCAATAGAGGAAGTAGAAGTGAAAAAAGGCTGAAAAGAGGTGGCCTGAAGAGCACAGGGAAACCTAGAGAGTGTGGTACCATGAAAACCACGGGAGGACATTGTTCATAAAGGAGGACAGAGTCACAATATTGAGTGCTACTGACATCTCCAGGAAGAACAGGGGTTTGTGACCTTGATTTAAGTGAGCCATTAGAGCTTTGAGCAGGAGCCAGGCTATAAAAGGTGAAGAGTGAAAATATTGAGACAGTGAACATGGACAATTCTTTGAAGATGTTTGTCTGCAAATATAGCAAAGTGATAAGGCAGCATTTTGAGGGAAGTTTGTGTATAAGTGCATGTTTGTTTAATGTGAGCTATTAATTCATAACTATATCCTAAAAAAGGGAAAGGTTGATAATAACAGGGGAAGAAAAATATTTCAAATAGATCCAAGTATCTGAGAAGGTTAGAGGAGATGGATTCAGAATACTTGGAGGAAAGACTGGCTTTTCTCAGTTGAAACTAGAAAAAAGAAGGTGGAAGTACAAGTAGGCAATTTTTCTTTTTAATTTTTAATCTTGAAGTCAGTAGAGATTCATGTGTACCTTTCATACAATTTCCCCCAATGGTTATATCTTGTATCATTATAGTACAATAGCAAACACTAGAATTTGACAGTGGTACAATTGTGCCTATTTCCATGGCATTAATCACGTGTTTAGATCTGTATAAGCATCACTGCAATCAAGGTATTCCATTATCACAGAGATCTATTTTATGCTTTTGTGCTGCTCCCTAATAACCATTCCCACTCCCTTCTTCTTCAACTTCCCTAACCCTCTGCAACCACTAATCTTTTCCCCAGGTCTATAATTTTGTCATTTAGAAAATATTATATAAATGAAATCATACAGTATATGACCTTTTCAGATGGGCTTTTTTTTTTTTTCACTCAGCGTAACGCCCTTGAAATGTATCCGGGTTGTTGCACGTATCAGTAGTTCATTCCTTTTATTCTATGATATGGATGTATCATAGTTTATTCAGTCATTCACCTTGTGAAGAGCATCTATCTGATCTGATTCCAGTTTTTGGCTATTATGAATAAAGCTACTGTGAGCAAACATGGTTCTAAAGCTGCTATGAACAATCAGGTTTTGGTGTAGATGTAAGTTTTCATTTCTCTGAAATAAATGTTCACGTGTGCAATTGCTTGGTCATAAGGTAATATCATTTTTGGTTTTGTTAAGAAAACATCATACACTTTCCCACAATACCATTTTACTATCACCAGCAATGTGTGAGACTCGGTTTCTCTGTATCCTTGTGAGCATTTGGTGTTGTAACTATTTATTTTAACTATGCCAAAAGTTGTGTAGCTTGTGTTCTTAATATCCATTTTCCTAATGCCTGATGATATTGAACATATTTCCTTGTGCTTTTTTGCCACTTCCTTCAATAAAAAATCTCCTCATTTTTTTTGTCATGTTCTAATTGGATTGCTTATTTTTAACGAGTTTTAAGACTTCTTTATATAATCTAGATATGAATCTATTCTCAGATATGTGATTTGCAAATATTTTCTCTCTCAGTCTGTAGCTTGTCTTTTTTCATCTTAATAGGATCTTTTACAAATCTTTTTCATTTTTTTTATTTTTGATGAGATCAAATTATCAATTTTTCATTTATGGATTCTGCTTTTGGTGTCATGTCTAACAACTCTTTGCCAGGTTCTAGGTCTTGAAGGCTTTTTTCTATGTTTTTCCTAAAAATTTTATTAATTTACATTTAAATCTATGATCCTGATCCATTTTGAGTTAATATCTATATAACATGTAAGGTTTAGGGGTCTTTTTGCCTATGGATATCCAATTACTCCAGCACCATTGGTTGGAAAAAACAGGTTCTTCCTTCATTGAATTTTACCATCGTCAAAAATCAGTTTTTCATATCGAAGTGGGGCTGTTTTGGGGTTCTTTATTCTCTTCTATTGATCTATATGTCAATCTGTTTGCTAATACTATACATTTTCAGCCAGGAGCAGTGGCTCACACCTGTAGCCCCAGCATGTTGGGAGACCCAGGCAGGAGGATTGTGCAAACCCAGGAGTTTGAAACCAGCCTGGGCAACAAAGTGAGACCCTGTCTCTACAATCAATCAATCAATCGATACAATAGTATCATACATTTTCACAATTATAGCTATGTAAGTCTTGAAATAAGGTACAGTGATTCCCCTCACTTTCTTCTTTTATAGAATAGTTTTAGTTATTCCAGTTCTTTTGCTTTTCCATATACATTTCAGAATAATCTTACCTGTATCTACAAAAATACCATACTAGGTTTTTGTTGGAATTCTGTTAAACCTGCATATCAGTCTGGGGAGAACTGATATTTTTACTCCATTGAGTGTTTGAATACATGAACACTTTGTCTCTCCATTTATTTCTAATTTTTAAATTTCTTTCATTAGCATTTTGTAGTCTTCAGTATCAGAGTCCTGTCCATATTTTTTCTTAGATTTGCAACTAAGTATTTTATCTCTCTCTTTTAATGGTTTTTACATAGTATTGTATTTTAAATTTGTTTCAACGTGTTAATTGCTAATATATAGAAATACAATTGATTTTTGGATGTTGACCTTGTATCTTGTGACCTTGTTGAATTTATTTATCAGGTCTAGAAGTGATTTTGTAGATTTTATGGAATTTTCTATTTACATCATAATGTCATCTGCAAATAGGACAGTTTTATTTCTTCCTTTCCAACCTGTATTCCTTTTATTTCCTTTTCTTGTCAATTGCACTGGCTAGAAATTCCAGTAGGTTGAACAGCAGTGGTGAAAGTGGACATCCTTGCCTCATTCTTAATCCTATGTGGAAATCATTTAGTCTTTCATCACTATATATGATGTTAGCCAGAGGTACTTTTTAAAAGATGTTAGATATTATTCATTGGGAACTGAGTATAGGATTCTTAGATGATTATTATTTTCTCAAAGAATTTCAAAAATATTGTGCCACTTCCTTCTGGCTTCCATGGTTTCTGATGAGAAATACACTGTGATTTGAATTGTTTTACCCCTCTCTGGCTGCTTTCAAGATTTTCTTTGTCCTTAGTTTTCAGAAGTTTGGCCACGGTGTGTCTTGGAATTTGTTTCTTTGCTCTTTTTTTGTTGGTTTGTTTGAGGTTCATTCATATTCTTGAGTCTATAGGCTATTTTTTTCCACCATATTTAGAAAATCTTTTGCCATTTCATTTTTGATGCTTTTTAAGCCTCATCTTTTTTTTTTTTTCTCCTTTCCTTCTGGGACTCTGATGACAAGATCTTTTGTGATAGTCCCACATATACCTGAAACTGTTCACTTTTTTTTACACTCTGCTTTCTCTCTGATCTTTGAATTGGGTAATTTATATTGTTTTATTCTAGTTCACGGATTCTTTCCTCGGTCTTCTTCATTCCGTTGTTGAGCCCATCATTGAGTTATTTATGTCAATTATTTTGATTTTTAGTTCTAAAATTTCCATTTGATTCTTCTTTAGATCTTCTATTCTTTTGCTGACATTTCCTGTTCTTTCATTTATTTCAAGCCTGGGTGAGACTGCTCATGGAAGCAAATTTATGCTGTCTGCTTTAAAATTCTTCTCATCTTAGGGCAGCATCTGATGATTGCCTTTTATCCATTAGTTTGAGTTCTTCCTGGTTCTGGGTATAACCAGTGATTTGTTATTGAAACCTGGACAGTTTGGATTATAGGATTTTAGATCTTATTTAAATCTTGTGTTTTAGGAGGCCTGCTGGATGAAGGGGGAGAAGTGCCACCTTCACTCTGCCAGGTGGGGATAGGAGTCCAGGTTTTCCACTCTGCCTCCACTGACAGGGGATGAGGGGCTCTTTGTTACTGCTATGTGGGGATAGAATTTTGGGATCTGAATCTGGCTTGCACTGACTTTGTGAATAGGGGGTATCATTATCCCAAGAGAGAAGGTGTGGAGTATCTATTCCTGCCGTGAAGCCTGGGCTCTCACTTGGCTTTTGCTATCAGAGGTGTGGATAGGACTGAAGTTTCTTTCTGTGGTATTTGGCTGAGTAGAGTGGTTATTATCTAAATGCTTCGTGTCTTGCTAGACTATTCCTTACTTCGTCTTTTGGCCAGAGTGCAGGCTTTCCTGTGGGCTTTTTTTTTTGTCTGTGTCCACTGGTGTTTTTAAGATGTCACTTCTCTATTATCCACTCTGGGATGTATGAAGTAAAAAGAAACACCAGGGAACTTACCACCTGTGTTCTTCAAGTCCTAATGTCCCTAGCTAGCCTGCCTTTCTCTCTCTCCCTTTCAGATATTCTTAATTTATTTAATATATAATGCCCAGGGTTTTTAGTTGAACTTAGAGGAATAGGGAAAAGTATGTCTACTTCATCTTCCTGGAAACAGAAGTCTCAGCAGATAGTTTTTATTTGTTCTTCAAATGTCCTTATAAATCTGCAGAGTAAAAGGTGATAAATGATTTCAATTTTCCAAAGGGAAAAATTGAGACACTTAAAGGTAATTTACCTGATCAAAGTTACCTAGAAATACAGTCTTAGCTTCAAGTAAAACCTCACAATTTTAAATAGCTATTATTTTGCTTTTCTTTTTTTCTCTCTCTGCTAAAAGGAAAAAAATTACTGATTGGTAGAGGGAAAGGAAGAAATGGTTACCCACAAAAAGACTAAAAGGACTATTTTTTTGGCTTGGAAGCAGTAACTGTTTAAAATTACTAAAGGAGGACTTTTCAGAAGTGATTACATAATCTTCTCAGTTACTCCTTTATATCTTATCTTATAAATGAATGACTTTAATTATTTATACTATGTCCTGAAACTTAAGTGTCAAGGTGCACATTTCATAATCATTGTCACTCTCTTGATTAAAGACTCACACAAAAACAGGAAAAAGGATGAAACTGTTTCATTACTATATTAGGCCATTCTTGTGTTGCTATAAATACCTGAGGCTGGATAATTCATAAAGAAAAGAGGTTTAATTAGCTGATGGGTCTGCAAACAGTGCAAGAAATAAGGTGCCAGCATCTGCTACTGGTGACAGCCTCAGGAAGGTTACAATCATGGTGGAAGGTGAAGGAGGAGCAGCCATCTCACATGGTGAGAGGGGAAGCAAGAGAGCAAGGGGGCAGTGCCACACTCTTTTAAGCAACCAGATCTCATGTGAACTCAGAGTGAGAACTCACTATTGCAAGGACAGCACCAAGTCTTTCATGAGGGATCTATGCCCATGACCCAAACACCTCCCACCAGACTCCCTGCAACATTGTGGATTATTTTTTAACATGATATTTGCAGGGGACAAACATCCTAACTATACCAATTACTTTGCAGGGCGTTCATCTTTCATCAGAACCCCTTGGGTCCTAGGATTTCTGTAGGTTGCGTAGCATTTCAAGAAAGATTTTAGACTGCTCCCTTAAAACCCATTATCTGAAGTTCTTGAAATGTTTCCAGTATTGCAGAGGCAATGATAAGCTCAGGGAATTAACTTCCCTGAGCAAATTTTCCCAATTCTAATATATTTCCTAATAGAGCATTCATAGGCCCTCTTTCCCTATTTTAGTTTTGATCATTTAGCACCACACTTTAAAATTTACTGAGTCTAAAATCCAAAGACTGGGGAAGATGGGAAAGACCTTTCAGGGACAAGTGAACTGGCCTACAGTTCGCTCCTATTATGGCCATTTTGATTCACCTAGCTCATATGAGTTTAGATGTGGCATATATTGCAGGAATAAGGGTGGCAAATGGCATGTTTTCTTCAAAAGAACATAGAAACCAGCAGAGGGTGGTTGGCAGAGCAGAGGGAGATAAAGGTGTCATCATTCCAATGGAAGGTTCTCTTTGCTTCCAGGGAGAGTCAAGAGTTATAACTTTCCTGGATTTACTGAGGGATGTGGGCTTCCATCCCAGCTACCTATGGCTCAGGAATCCAGTGAATTGCTTCTGTCCTGTATTCTGTCCCCTGGTCTTCCCACACAGCTCAGCACAAGAAAAATGTTTCTTTGAAGGAAGCAGCCTCTAGGACCTATGACAATTTTCAAGATTTTTTTTTTTTCTAAGTTGCATTCTCTCCGCTACAGAAGTGGCTCAGTTGATGCTTTGGAAGTTGTCTCAGCTGGTTCAAAAAGCTCCTATGTTACCTTCATTTTCAGGGACAGCAATGAGCCTGACTCTCCTGCATCTCCTTTGTCTGAGGCATAGACCACTGACTGCTTATGGAAAAGAACAGATAATGATATCCGTCTCCTGCTTCCACCCACCACTCAATGTAACTTTCTGCCATGAACATAACCAGCCACACATAAACTGTCTGCAGAAAAGGAAGTTCCATCCTATAAGCTTGGCAGGAGGGTATGTAGGGTCAACAAAGAAATCTCTGCTACTCGTTTGCAGTCATTTCCATGAGGCTAATTGTCACCTCCAGAAATCAGCCCAGAAGGAATAAATGCATTTTCCCCTGATAAAAGAAAGGACCTAAGGAAATGGGGATTGCAGATTAGCCCTTTCACAGGAACTGACTGGGCCTGTAACAGCCATCCGAGTCCTGCTAACCAGCAGATAAACTAGATAAGAGTTTACATTAGCTTTGGCTGCTGTGAGGATGCCTCTGCTCTCTTGGACTCCAGAACAGTTGGTTCATTAAAGTACCAGGGTCGGCAAGTGCCAGGGTCATAAGTCTGAGTATTTATGTTTTATAATCCTCCATTCGATGTTCTTTTTTGTATGTGTCTAGAGATAACGGTTTCTCTCTAGATCCATCCTTCTAGGTAACTGTATGGCATTCAGGAAGGCATCTGTACAATTTCTCCTCTCTTCAGAAATCAAAACTACTGCTGACTGCAGCAAAGAGTAAGGAACACTTAGAGAGATGGAGCAATATTTCAAAAATACTTCTTAGAAAAGAATTGGAAGTCTTTGCATTTCTAAATCCTACGCTTTTATGTTTTCAAATGAATCAGATGATATTGTGTCAACAAAAGCATATCTTATTTCAACACTTATTTCTATATCTCAGTTGGAATTTCGATACTCTTTCTGTCATTTTCATTTTCTTCTCATGCCATGTAACCTTGTCCCGTTTGAGAAGGCATGCTAAAAAGTTTGCAAAGAATAATGCAGTTTACTTCTATGTTCAAACATTCAGTACTCTTTCTATATAATACTTCTAATTGCAAAATTTTGTGCACCTAGAAAGAGGATCTCTCTATCTAAATATTGATGTCTTAATAAGTTCATTGTACTGATGTCTTACTAATAATCTCAAGGAGAGAATTTATTTGTAATGCTGCAATTTCAAAGTGCAGGTGTTGTATCTTTTATTCATGTTTAG
Organism: Homo sapiens; assembly: GCF_000001405.40. Lineage (NCBI taxonomy): Eukaryota > Metazoa > Chordata > Mammalia > Primates > Hominidae > Homo > Homo sapiens. The sequence goes on from NC_000020.11 coordinate 6,801,379, forward strand.
CTTTCAGAATCCACTGAGTGTTTTAAATGGTAATGAAAAGGCTCAAAGGTTGATAGCTGTGCTTGGAGAGGGATAGTGAATTAGAAAGATCTGCTACCTGACTATGCATTCATTTTCCAATTTTTTGGAATATATTTTTCAAAATTCAAAAAATATTTATAGGATGCCTATTATGTAGTGAGTGGTATTATAGGCCATGGGAATTCAGTAGTAAATAAAAATAAAGTCATCATTTGCATGAAGCTTACAGGGCTTCCATATCTATTCCAGATCCCCCCTGTTCTCTTGTACTCAAAGTGCAGAGCATCCACGTTGCCTGGGATGTTATAATAGAATTACATGATTTCAGATTCCTCTCCAAATCTCCTGAACAAGAATCTACAATCTACTAAGATTCCTAGAGGATTCACGTGAATATAAAATTCTGAGAAGTTTGCCAAATGTCAGTTTAAGAACCTAGGCTGTAGCCAATCATATATGGTATTCCTTTGACCACAGAAATTGGCTCAAAAGGGTATGTTGCCAAGGTGATTCTAGTTAAGGAAGATTTTTTTTTTCTCTAAAGAAAGACCCAGAGGATGAAATAATCCCTTTATTCCTCTGTCTGGTGTGCTGCCCAGGGATGATTCCTTAAACTGCTGCAGTCTGATGATAAAGGTGAGGATGGACAGAGGCAAGGGAGACACAGGAACACAAAGCAGAAGCCTGATTGAACTGTACTTGATTCCCACTCTCTCTCTGGACCTTGTCAGTTACAGAGGCCAATACATCCCTAATCACCCCAACTGATGCACTTGCATAGGCTGCTTCCTAGATACTTGGTGGAAAGGCCCATATGTCAAAATACAACACACACCAAAGTGGGTACATGTGATCAGATCAGGCAACCTGTCAGCCTAGGGACCATCCTTACCACCGCCTGCAAATGAGGATAAATGAGGTGCAGTTTTGGAAAATCTCTGGGCTTGGGACCAATTTGGGCAGCAAGGTGGAGGAGTGAAACAGCATATTTTGCTGATAGAGAAGAGATAGTGGTGAGTCATACAGATACACAGATGCTTGGAGTTGTTGTGAAAGAGAGAAGGGATAAGCCCTTGGATGACTGAAATGGGATTTATGCAAGGTGGCCTTAGGCAGAATCAGTACTCCCTGCCTGCCTCTTGCCACCCTCACTTACTCTCACTTTGTTTCTTCCAACACCCCAAGCAAGTCAGTAGTTCTCTGCGGCCTTCTGTTCAGTGCCCACTCTTTTCTCATCTTTTCTCCTTCCCTATCTTTTCTCCTTCCCCTCCCACCTCATCCCACTGCACTTTCCCATCAGTCTCACGTGATGGGGTTTGTGAGGAAATAATGGGTACTAATATTTGCTTCAAGAAGGAGTTTTCTCCTCCTCCTCCTCCTTTTCCTACTCCTCCTCCTCTTCCTTCTCCTCCTCCTCTCCTCCTACTCTTCTTCTTCTCCGTTCTCCTTCTCCTTCTCCTCCTTCTTCTTCTTCTTCTTTTTTTTTTGTCGAGACTGAGTCTCACTCTGTTCCCTAGGCTGGGGTGCAATGGCGTGATCTCAGCTCACTACAACCTCTGCCTCTTGGGTTCAAGGTATTCTCCTGCCTCAGCCTCCCAAGTAGCTGGGACTACAGGCATGCGCCACCACACCCAGCTAATTTTTGAATTTTTAGTGGAGATGGGGTTTCACCATGTTGGCCAGGCTGGTCTCAAACTCCTGACCTCAAGTGATCTGCTGGCCTCGGCCTCCCAAAGCGCTAGGATTACAGGCATGAGCCACCTCGCCCAGCCAAGAAGGAGTTTCTTATGTGACTTATCCTAGCACTGACCTAATAAAGGGGAAAGAGATCTGGTGTGGACTCCCATCTTCCATGCAACAGCTGCCTCCACTGCCATCACACAGGACCATCCCGGAGATATAAAATAATTCTAACTACTACCATTTCTGGAGCACTTATGTATCATACTCTGCATACTATCTACTTGAAATGCCACATTTGTTTTAATCCTTTTAGCTGTCAAGAGAATACATGATTTTATATACATTTTCCAGTTGAGGAGCTTGAGGTCTAGAATGGTTAAAAATTCTTGCCCAGCCGGGTGTGGTGGCTTACGCCTGTAATCCCAGCATTTTGGGAGGCTGAGGCAGGTGGATCACCTGAGGTCGGGAGTTTGAAGCCAGCCTGACCAAAGTGGAGAAATCCCATCTCTACTAAAAATACAAAATTAGCCAGGCATTGTGGTGCATGCCTGTAATCCCAGCTACTCGGGAGGCTGAGGCAGGAGAATAGCTTGAAACCAGGAGGCGGAGGTTGCGATGAGTCAAGATCGTGCCACTGCACTCCAGCCTGGGCAACAGGGGCGAAACTTCATCTCAAAAAAAAAAAAAAAAAAAAAAAAAAATTATCGCCCATAGTGATTAAGCGAGAAGGAGAGATTTGAAACTTTGTCTTTAAATGGACAAATGCCATATTATACTACTCATTTGTAGAACTTAGGGCGTGGTTATCTAGTTGTAATTTATATTCTCAAGCAGACAATTTGTTGAAAGTTTTGACTATAAGAGCCTGTCAAAGGGCTATGGGTGCCTGGGTCTGATGACACATTGACATTCTCTGACTGTTTGCTGAGCCAAGTTCATGTTCACCTGTGGCTTTTACCAAGATGGTGCTCTGAGTGTTTTAGTGCAGCAGTCTCACTTATACTTTTACTGTTACTGTGATGCTTTTAAACATCACTTAGCTATGTTTTGCTATTTTAAGTACAATTATTCATCCTATAAAGACCCTTGTAAAGAATTTAATTCCAGCTGCTTTTGCTGATAGCTGAGGAATACAACCCTCAGCTAGATAAACCAATATACTGGGATTTGTGGTTCATGAGCATCAGTGGCAGGACCAGAACAAGAACCCAGGTATCTTAATTCCTAGGTTTTCCAAACTCCAGGTTAACTGTTGATTTTTATTTTATTTTGTAATAAAGTGATATTTTGTAGATTTATTCCCCTCAAGAGACCCTTTGCTGGAGTTTCAAATATATGCAATTTTATTTTAGAGGCAAATTCTTCCAGATAGAAGGAGTGAGGAACAGGGTAAATCCTGTCAACAAAAATGATTAAAATTGTGGAAAACAATCATTTCAGAATTCTTAAATCCACCAAAGGTATAAAATACATATAGAAGCATTTGTTCAAAAAATCCTGCCAAACCTTGGTTAAGAACTATGAAAATCTAAGGCCTTTTAGCCTGGGATGCTCCTGTTCAACCCATCCGCATGACCATTTCTTCAGGTAGTGAAGAAGTTCTACTAGGGCATGGCAAGTTGAGAAAACCAGTAACTGCACTGCTGGAAGAGGATGGCTTGATTTGAAACAGAGTGCATAGGAAAAGCCTCATCCATAAATGTTGTGGAAAAGAATATGATCTCATGGCAAACAAATAAGAAAGGCTATCATGACAACTAGCTTGAAGCTGTAATTCTGATAAGGCATAATAATAATAATAATAACAGAGAGAGACAGGGAATGATATGGCTGTAGTGCTCTTTGATAAGCTCCAAGATATCTCTAGGCTTCTGAAAAGGTAAGTGTCTGTGCAAAGCTATGCACTCAGGAGAGACTGGAAAAGTCACCAGCTATATACTCATTCTGGCTGATTATAAGGCTTTGCACACCCAGAAAGTAAAAGCCAGGAACTAAATGCATTTCCAAATCCACACACAGTTCTACTACCAAATGGTGGAGGCATTACTGGCTCAAGGTGTTGAGTACAACCTCTGACCAATAACTGACTGATGACTAGAGTATGCTAACACAAGGAAAATCTCTAGGAAGCCAGACTCAACGAGTAAGAGCAAGAACAACAACAAAAATCTAAGCAAAGACATTAGAGGCTATGTACCATGGGGGAGGCAGACTCCACAGAATTAGTTCAGGTAAATTATTAAACAAACCAAGAGAAGCAACAAAAATAACCCCCCTCAGGGGGAGAGAATAGAAATCCTGAATTGCTACAATATATTATCTAAAATGTACAGTTTTCAACAAAACCATTGCAAGACATACAAAGAAAAAATGTAACCTATGTTTAAAAAAATAAGTCACTACCTACCATTTTTGAGGAATCCAGTTATTGGACTCGGCCAATAAAGACTTCAAAGCAGATATTAAATGTAACATTTAAGGAACAAAAGAATAGTATAAGACAATGACTAATCAAATAGAGCATCTTGATAAGGAGATAGAAATTATACAAAATAGGCCGGGCGTGGTGGCTCACGCCTGTAATCCCAACACTTTGGGAGGTCAAGACAGGAGGATAACTTGAGGTTGGGAGGAGACCAGCCTGCCCAACATGGCAAAACCCTGTCTCTACTAAAAATACAAAAATTATCTGGGCGTGGTGGCACACACCTGTAATCCCAGCTACTTGGGAGGCTGAGGCAGGAGAATCGCTTGAACCTGGGAGGCAGAGGTTGCAGTTAGTCGAGACTGTGCCACTACACTCCAGTGAGACTCCATCTCAAAAAAAAAAAAAAAAGACAGAAAAGAAAAGAAATTGTATAAAATAACTAAGTGGAAATTCTTCAGTTGAAAAGTAGAATAACTGAAGTGAAAATTTATTATAGGAGCTGAACAGTAGATTTGGGGTCACGGAAGAAAAATCGATAAACTTGAAGATAGATAAATAGAAATTGTTCAAATTAAAGAACAGAAAGAAAAAATAAAGACAAATGAGAAAAGCCTCAGAAACTATCTCCAGGATAGTCTGTCAATCATATGGAGTACTATCAATCATGCCAACTATCAATCATACCAACGTGAGATACTCTCAGTAATACTAACATATGCATGTTGGGAGTCTCAGAAAAAGAGAAAGAGATAAAAGGTCAGAAAAAATATGAGGAAATATTGTCTAAATATTTCCATATTTGATGAAAATCTAACCTACAGATCCAGTAAACTTAATGACTCCAAGTAGGATAGACACAAATAGAACCACACCTAGACACATCATAGTCAAACTGTTGAAAAACAAAGTTAAAAAAAATCTTGAAAAAACAAGAGAAAAGTGACTCATCATATACAGGGAAACAACAACATGATTGACAGCTGACTTCTCATTCAAAACAAAGGAGACCAGAGGCACTGGGATGACATACTGAAAAATGCTGTAAGAATATGCCTGTCAACTAAGAATTCTGCATCCATTAACACTATCTGTCATAATTAAAGGTGAAATAAAGACATTCCCAGGTAAATGAAAGATGTGTGAATTTGTTGCTAGCAGACGTGTTTTACAAGAAATACTTAAGGAAGGCCTTCAGGCTGAAAGTAAATTATTCTAAAATGGTAATCCACATGAAGAAATAAAAGCATGGCAAAAGATAAATATACCAATAAATGTGTAAGACTTTAAGTATATATACACATTTCTGCTTTTTTCTCTTAACTGGCTTAAAATATATAAGATTGCATAAACCAATACCTATGAAACTGCATTTCTGGGCTTTTAAACTATAAAGTTGTAATATATATAAATAATAGTGCAACATTTTAATTTCTTATTTTTTCATATATATATGAGGTGTGCATGTATATATATGTGTGGTTATGTGTGTGTGCATGTGTGTGTGTGTGTATATATATATATATATATATATATATATATATATATAAAATGGTTGATTTAAGACTTTCAAGACAGACCTTAGTTCATTATAACCTACTTCAGATTAATACTAATTTATTTCTTGGAAAATATAGAAACATATTCCAATACAACTCTATTTTTTCCTCCCACCTTTTTGCTATTCTCTCCAAATTGATCTATAGGTTCAACACAATCCCTATTAGAATCCCAGCAGACTTTTTTTTTAAAAATGACAAGCTAAATTATATATGAAAATGCAAAGGACCCAAAATAGCCAGAACAACTTTGGGGGAAAAAGGTTGAGAGATATATATTTTTCAATTATAAACTTACGGTAACTGCAGTAATCAGGACAGCATGGCAGTGTAATAAGGGTAGACATAGATTAAAGGAGTGGCATTGAAAGTAAAAAAATTAAGTCTCATATTTATGGTAAGTTTATTTTTAACAAAGTTACTCTAATAATTCAATGGGGGAAAGGATTGAGTTTTCAACAAATGGTACTGGGAGAATTGTCTATCCATTTGCAAAAAGAATAATTCAGACTCCTACCTCATATCATGCATAAAATTAACTTAAAGTTTATCATCTGCCTAAAAGAAAAATACAAAACTCTAAAACTTCTGGGAGAAGAAACATAGTAGGAACTCTTTATGGCATTGTGATAAGCAAAGAGTTCTTAGATATGGCGCTAAAAGTAAGATCCATAAAACAAAAATTTTGTGCAGTGGGCTTCATTTAAATTAAAACCTTTAGTACTTCAAAAAAAAACACCATTAAGAAATGAAAAGATAAACCACAAGCTGGGTAAAAATATTTGCAATTCATATATCTGATAGGGGACTAACATCCATAATATCAAAAAAACTTTTACAAGTCAATATCAAGAAAAGCAACAACCTAATTAAATAATGAACAAGCCAAGACGGGCGGATCACCTGAGGTCAGGAATTTGAGACCAGCCTGCCCAACATGGCAAAACCCCGTCTCTACTAAAAATAAAAATAAAAAAATAAAAATAAAATTAGCTGGGCGTGGTGGTGGGTGCCTGTAATCCCAGCTACTCAGGAGTCTGAGGCAGGAGAATCACTTGAAGTCGGGAGGCGGAGGTTGCAGTGAGCCTAGATCACGCCACTGCATTCCAGCCTGGGCGACAAGAGTGAAACTCCGTCTCAAAAAAGAAAGAAATAATAATTAACAAATTATCTGAATAGATATTTTACCAAGAAGATATACAAATGGCCAATAAGCACATGAATAGATGCTCACCATCATTAGTTATTTTTTAAAAAGCCCAATTTATGCTGCAATGAGATACCACTGAAAAGGCCATAATCAAAAAAGCAGACTATAGCAAATGTAGGAAAGGATGTAGAAAAACTGAAATATTCATCCATAACCGATGAGAACTTAAACGGGAAAACACTTTGGAAAACAATCTGACAATTTCTTTAAAACTGAAATTTACCGCACAATCTAGTAGTTCCCCTAAGTATGTACCCAAGACAGGTGAAAACAAGTTCTCCTAAAGACTTCAAAGGTTATTTCTTATTTATTTTTAAATTCATGACATTGCCATTATTTTAAAACTATAAAAAAGATAAATATTGCCCACATACATAATGGTCCCCAAAATAGTCTCTCCTAAAAACTTTTTTAGCATTGTTTTATTGTGGTAGAACACACATAATATACAATTTATCATCTTAACCATTTTAAAGTGTATAGTTCAGTGGTATTAAATACATTCATAACGTGCAACCATTACCGCCATCCGTTTCCATAACTCTTTTCATCTTGTAAAACTGAAACTCTATATTCATTAAACAATAACTCCCCATATCCCCTACCCCAGCCCCTAGCAATCACCATTCTCCTTTTGTCACTATAATTTTGATGACTGTAAGTACCTCATATATGTGGAATCATACAGCAATTATCTTTTTATTACTGAATTATATAATTTAGCATAATGACCTCAAGTTTCAAACGTATTGTAGCATATGTCAGAGTTTCCATTTTTAAAATGGCTGAATAATATTTCATTGTGGGTATATACCTCCTTTTGTGTATCCATTCATCCACAGGTGGACAGTTATATTGCTTCCACATTTTAGCTATTGTGAAATACGCTACTACAAACATGGGTGTCCAATATCTCTTCAAGACCCTGCTTTCAATTATTTTCGGTAGATAGCCAGAATTGCATTTTCTGGATCATATAGTAACTCTGTTTTTTGTTTTTGAGACGGAGTCTCGCTCTGTCGCCCAGGATGGAGTGCAGTGGCGCGATCTCGGCTCACTGCAAGCTCCGCCTCCCGGGTTCACGCCATTCTCCTGCCTCAGCCTCCCGAGTAGCTGGGACTACAGGCGCCCGCCACCACGCCCGGCTAATTTTTTTTGTATTTTCAGTGGAGACGGGGTTTCACCGTGTTAGCCAGGATGCTTTCGATCTCCCGACCTCGTGATCCGGCCGCCTCGGCCTCCCAAAGTGCTTGGATTACAGGCGTGAGCCACCACGCCCGGCCCAGTAACTCTGTTTTTTAATAAGGAAGTCCCATTCGGTTTTTTGCAGTAGATGCACCATTTTACATTCCCACCAACAGTGTGCAGGGTTCCAATTTCCCCACATCGTCACTAATACTTGTTACTTTCTAGTTTTTTTGATAGTAGCCATCTAATAGGTGTAAGGTGGTATCTCACTGTAGTTTCGATTTGCATTTCCCTAGTGATTAGTAATGTTGACCATCTTTTTATGTGCTTCTTGGCCATTTGTATATCTTCTTTGGAGAAATGTCTGTTCAAGTTCTTTGACAATTTTTGAATTGGATTATTTGTTTTTTGTTGTTAATTTTTAGGAGTTCTCTATATATTCTTGATATCAATCCCTTATCTGATATTTGATTTGCAAATATTTTCTCCCGTTCTTTGAGTTGCCTTTTAACTTTGTTGGTGGTGTCTTTTGATGCACAAATGTTAAGGAAATTTTCATGAAGTACAATTTGCTTTTTCTTTTGTTGCCTGTACCTTTGGTGTCATATCTAAGAAATCCCTGCCAAATCCAATGTCATGAAGCTTTTGCCCTATGTTTTCTTCTAACAGTATGATAGCTTTAGATCTTTAATCCATTTGAGTTAATTTTTGTATTTGCTATTAGTTATGGGTCCAGTTTCCTTCTTCTCTGAAATAAAATTTTATATGTATATTTATGGCAGCATTATGCATAATAGTCCAAAAGTAGAAATTATCCAAGTGCCCATCAACTATTGAACGAATAAAATGTAGTATATTCATACAATGGAATATTATTCACCAATAAAATAAACTGCTGACACATGCTACAATATGGATGAATTAAAAGAAAAACATTATATTAAATGAAAGAAATCAGAGGCAAAAGGGCACATATATGTGATTCTTTTCATATGAAACCTCAGCAAAGGGAAATCCATAAGATCAAAAAGTAGATCAGTGGGTGTCTGGGGTAAAGACTGACTGAAAATGGGCATGAGGGATCTTCCTGGGGGGAATAGAATTGTCCTAACACTGGATTGTGGTTATGGCTGCACAACTCTGTAATGGAAATGCACTGAAACTTTCTGAATTTCTTAAAGTGAGAAAAGTATAGTACCTAAGGTAGACCTCAAGAAAACTCTTAAAATTTTTTAAAAGCTCTAGGTAAATTCAACCAATCAAAAAACAGGCAAATCAAATACAAAAAAATTTATATTGTATCAAAAATTTGTGTGTGTGTGTGTGTGTGTGTGTGTGTGTGTGTGTATGCCAGTCTTGCCATGAACCTCTTGGTCAGTATTGAAATAATGTTCCAGAAACAAGGCTACTTTTGTTGAGTAAAAAATCAACACAAATGCCCTGTCCTTTGAAAATGTTAGATGCATCTTATACTGTGTATTCCTAAACAGTTGCAAGCTCCTTTAGGTACTTGTTTCTTCTATTTATTTGCTATCATCTTCTAATGGTTCCCCTTAGGAATCCACAGTCGAAGCTCAGTCAACGTTGACTGACAGCCCTGAAAGACCCTGTTGTCCACTCCCAGTGTGGGGAGAACTGTATGTAATCCTTTCTCAACCTAAATTCTTGTGGGAGGAGAAAGAGGGCACAGAGCCACGTATCTGATCAGGATTGAACCTCTCACAGGGGCCAGCAGAGACCATTGCAGTCTGTAACTACAATTGTCACACATTCTTACCCCAAAAGGGGCTTTCAGAGGTCACCTGGCTGAGCACACCGCTTCCCAGCTGGCGACCACCTGTCTTAGTGACTTTAACACTCTGGATTCAAAATAGGAAAAGTGTGTGCTCTTACTTCTCTGGCTCAAGGCAAGGTTTAAAGATTTAAAGGTCCCTGGGTTCTTTGGGTAAGGATTTCTCATTGTGAATATAAAGGGATTCTTATCATTACCAAAACATTCTGAAAACAATGCTGTTCCTGGCGTTTAACCCAATGTCGTATCTGCACACAAGATAACTATGCACTGAAATCTTACTATCTAATGTTTTCAAGGTTTCAAAAAGCAAGAGAGTGGTAAATAAGGGGGATATTGCAAATGGAATTTCTCTGCAGCCTCACAATTGAGCTTCTGAAAACTCCATAAAAAAACACTAAGTGAATTAAGCCTATAAAATCTGCATTGTCCCCACTTTTTTTCCTCCTTGATTCCTCAAAGTCCTCAGGCTTAAAGACCCCAGGGAACTGGCAGGTGTAGATTTCCATGGAAACCAACCCTAAAAGAATGAAAACCCAAGGAGAGAATTGTGTGAAGTGCCCTCACTCCTGTGTCATTTCCTTGCCAACAGTTTTCGAGGTCAACCTGGCTTATTTCATGAAATTAGAGGCCCTGCTGTCAGGATTTCCCCAGGCAAAAAGGGTTTGCTCAGCTCCATTGGTTGTAAATCCACAGATTGTGGTTGTTCTCTGCTTCTAGAAGAACAGCCTTCACGATTCTGCCTGACTTTCAAATGCCTTTTATACTGGCCTCATTCTGATTAACCAGAGCCGTGCTTTTTTCCACAGTTAGATTGGGTGTGCTTACTTTAAAATATTCATTGAAAAATAAGATATTACTTAATATGATGTTATTGAATACAATATTCAGAAATAACGTATTCAAAAATATTTTTTAAAAACCACATGAAAAGAGTAATATGTGTTTATAGAGTATATATATATGTATGCGTGTGGTTAAAAAACTTCCAACAGTACAGAAAGTAAAAAAAGAAAAAAGGAAAATTTCTATCTCTTTCTCTCTTTCCAAAGGCAAAATGGATAAAAAGTCTTAGGAGTCACCATGATTTCTCCAACACTGGCCTAAGGAGCACCGTCATTAATGTCTGCCTGGATGGAGAAATAAGCCTCAATTTAGGAAAATCTCTAGGCTTGAAATCTATTAGGGAACTCCTCTGTACCTTGCTTTTGTAATTTAATAAAAATATAGCTTAGAAGGCGTTCTTTTTTTTTACTTTTTTCGTTTTCCTCCTCTCCCCTCATAGATGTTTTTTATCTGTTCACAGACCCAACTCATGTAGTAGAGCAATGGTTCTTAAACTTGAGAGCACATTGAATTCCCTGGAGGACTCCGTGCACTTCAGATGATCCACAGAGCTCCTGATTTAGTAGGTCTGGGGTGGGGTCTCCGAATTTGCATTCCTGAGTAGCTCTCAGGTGCTGCTGTGCTGCGGGGTGGTGTACTATCTTTAGGTAGTGCTGTCATTGATTGCTTCAAGCCGACTTAGAGATCCACCTCGGCAGTTATAATATGCCATTGTTTGAACTTACCCTGTTTTTATCTAATCTCATATTGTCGGACACTTAAGTTCTTTCCAATGTCTTCCTGTTATTCTCACAACAACCTTAAGATGAGATAATAAGAATAGCTACTATTTTTGAGTACTTAGAATGGGCCAAGCACTGTGAATTACTTTATCTGCATAGCACTTCTATCCTGAAGGTACTACATTATTCTTGTTTTACAGGTGAAAGAACTAAGTCTAGGAGAAATTAAGTAGTGTGATTAAAATAAGAAGTGAGAGAGGCTGGGAATCTAAGAAAGACTCATCTGGTTGCAGAGTCCATGTTCTTTCCAGGGTCTCCACCCACAAAAGTTTACAGGCTAGTTGGACAATTAAGGATGAAACACAATGAATAAGAATAACAGAAGTAATGATTGCCAGAAGCAAGGCAGAGGAGAGAAGTTGGCTTAATCAAATAATCCAACTGTGACTTTGCATCCCACAGGGCCCTGTGCTTAGAAATGCTCCTGTTTGCTTTCCTGCTCCAGTGTCATTGTCTTGAAATTCTTAACAATTTTTTAACAATTGTCCCGTATTTTCATTTTGCATTGGTCTCCACAAATTATGTAGACACTCCTGGAAGGGTTAATTTAGTCTTCAAACTTCAGCCAGCCAAGAGCTTTAGCAATGACTTAGTAACCACATTTTACAGATGATTTTTGTAATGTTTTTCCTACCATGCTTTGTTTTTACCCTCCAAATGGACACACTCTTGGGCTGATGTTTTCTACCTGGAATTTGTTCAGGGAGGTATTTTCTTGACAAGAAGAAACATCATTAGGATGATAAATATGAAGGGAGATAATACTATACACAGCTTTCCAAAATCAGTCAGAAATGTTGTCTTTGGTGGGGGGGACGAAATCATTTGTTAATGCTGCATCTCCTGCCCCTCATTGGTTTGCTAATATATGGCTATTTAGCTGTAGTTGACAGCCTCTGAAATTTATTATTTTTATATAAAGCAGATATTCTTTTTTTAATTTCATTTATTTTTATTTTTTATTTATTTATTTTTTTGAGATGGAGCCTCACTCTGTCACCCAGGCTAAAGTGCACTGACACGATCTTGGCTCACTGCAACCTCCACCTCCCGGGTTCAAGTGATTCTCCTGCCTCAGCCTCCCAAGTAGCTGGGGTTACAGACTCCTGCCACCATGCCTGGCTAATTTTTGTATTTTTTAGTAGAGACAGGTTTCCCCTTGTTGCCCAGGCTGATCTTGAACTCTTGGGCTCAAGTGATCTGCCCACCTTGGCGTCCCAAAGTGTTAGGATTACAGACGTGAGCCACCGTGCCAGGCCAGCAAAGTAAAGATTCTGAAGTTTTGCTACATTAACTAATTTTCATCTATTTCCCAGGGAGAAAGAATTATTTTCACTTTTATACGCTAAAGCTGGGAGAATTCCACTGTGAACACAGCGCACACCAACTATGCCCCAGGGGAGTGTTGCCTTGTGTATTACATATTTCACACCATAACAATGTTATCCGATTTTATAATTAACATTAAACTTTTATAGGAAAAAGTACCTTGTTATACTAGTTGTTAACCTTTGGATATATTTAAAGCTCATTTCATAAGGAGCCATATGCTGCTTCATCACCGTCCTAAGTGGGCTGTGTTGCTAAGTGTTATGGGATCTGGTAATAAAAGATACAAACACAATGTGTATGCCCAACAACAGGGGCTGAATTAAGGGAGCAACGGGAGCCTTAACTCTTGAATTTCCTGACTTCTGTGGGTTTCATTTGCAGTCTCAACATTCCAGTAATACTTCGCTTTCTCACACCACTTTTTTATTCTTTCTTCTTCAACATCCCCACCTCCTCTCCAACCCTGATAATAACTGTTTAAACATTCATACTCACTTGCCTACTGCATTGAGTTATATGATTAGTTTGTACCCTTTTAGTGCCATCGATGATAGGGACTCATTATTGAGTCAATGTTTCTAAACTATGGCTCTCTGACACAAATCAATCTGCAAAACGTGTCAGAAGAAAGTACTAGTGAACCCAACAAGTATTTAGACCATTTTTAAAAAATGTAAGCAGCTTACGTGGGGATACATTCTCAAGTGTATTTTTAGAGTAAAAATAGAGAATGGTAAAAAATGGCCATTGAAAAATCTCTTACGTCATTTCTAAAGAATATGTGTGGGTGTGTATTTAATATAACAATGATCTTCACAAAAGCTTAAAGAACACTTACACCAGACCAAAAGAAGGAATCAAAGAATTAACCTTCATGCAGACACCGGGAAACCATCTGTGTCCTAGCATTTTCCTAGGGGTGAAAAGGGAACGGGTGGGTGAGGCTAATTGTGTCTTCTTATCTTTCTGGGGTTTACTTACTTTTTAAAATAGTAAGCATTCAAATGTTAATTTATGTTAATTGATTGCTTGTTCATGAGGATTAAGAGAATTTGTGGAGTCTCATTGGATGGAGGGTAACGTTTTAAAGTCAGCACCTGAGTTAAATTTGATGCAAATGTATATTTCTGGCATTAACTTGAATTTCTGTAATATTTCTATTCAGAGAGTTGAGACATTTTGATTGCATTATTCTCCAACTTCTAGGAAAATGTAGTAATTCAGTTAGATTGTGTGGAGCATAAAGCAGTGCTTCTCAAACTCCAATCAGCCTATGAATCCCCTGGTGAATTTTTTTAAATATGGATTTGGTAGGTTTGAGATAGGACCTCAGATTACATGTTTTCAACAAGTCCCCAAGACATGTTGCTGCTGTCGGTCTGCAGACTACATGCTGGATAGAGAGAGTCTAATGGAATAAGTACTGCAAACTGGGAAAACGGTAGTCATGATACCTAGCTTTACTTATGCCTTTTTGTGCAAAATGTCTTTATTTTAGCTTCTTCACTTGAAAACAAAGTGAGGGAGAGGAGGTTACCTTGCTAAGTTTCTTCTACAGATGAGTGTTTACTCCTAGTTGGGGCGTATATACACAATACCTTTAATATGAAAATATTTATGTTACTACTTATAATGTATGCATACATATTTTCTGCTTAACATTAGAAAAACACAATACTGAAACTGTTAATAGCTACATCCAGATATGAGTTTTGAGTTGCAGACTAAATATACAGAGGTGAAAGCATCTCTAGGGGTGAAATCAACTACTGGTTGGTTGTCTCCTATGTCTGATGCTTTTTGTTTTACTTTAAAAGAGCCCAGCCTGAAATGTTATAACCTTATTTAACATAGCCTGCTCAGTATTTAATTATCTTTTGAATTAAAAACCAATTATCTATGTTTAATTTAAACTCTGCAATTTAAAAGACTGTGTCCATGGATAGGACCTCAGCTAAATGTGAGAATATATATCCACTATCTATTTAAAGAAATCACAGTAGGATATGATTTATTTCTCACAAGCCGTGAAATTTCCTTTCAATATAACAAGGCATTTGGGGGTTAAAAATTAGATTTTTTACCTTGTACATTTGTTTAAGTTATTTGTAGATTCTGGCTATTAGCCCTTTGTCAGGTGGGTAGATTGCAAAAATTTTCTCCCATTCTTTAGGTTGCCTGTTCACTCTGATGACAGTTTCTTTTGCTGTGCAGAAGCTCTTTAGTTTAATTAGATCACATTTGTCTATCTTAGCTTTTGTTGCCATTGCTTTTAGTGTTTTAGTCATGAGGTCTTTGCCCATGCCTATGTCCTAAATGGTATTGCTTAGGTTTTCTTCTAGGGTTGTTATGGTTTTCGGTCTTACAAACAAACCCATAAAAAAGTGGGCAAAGGATATGAACAGATATTTTTCAAGAGAAGACATTTATGCAGCCAACAGACACATGAAAAAATGCTCATCATCACTGGTCATCAGAGAAATGCAAATGAAAACCACAATGCGATACCATCTCACACCAGTTAGAATGGCAATTATTAAAAAGTCAGGAAACAACAGATGCTGGAGAGGATGTGGAGAAATAGGAAAGCTTTTACACTGTTGGTGGGAGTGTAAATTAGTTCAACCATTGTGGAAGACAGTGTGGTGATTCTTCAAGGATCTAGAACTAGAAATACCATTTGACCCAGCAATCCCATTACTGGGTGTACACCCAAAGAATTGTAAATCATGCCTTTATGAAGACACATGAACATACATGTTTATTGTGGCACTATTCACAATAGCAAAGACTTGGAACAAACCCAAATGTCCATTGATGATAGGCTGGATAAAGAAAATGTGGCACATATACACCATGGAATACTATGCAGCCATAAAAAAGGATGAGTTAATGTCCTTTGCAGGAACATGGATGAAGCTGGAAACCATCATTCTCAGCAAACTAACACAGGAACAGAAAACCAAACACTGCATGTTCTCACTCATAGGTGGGAGTTGAGCAATGAGAACACCTGGACACAGGGTGGGGAACATCAAACACCGGGGCCTTTTGGAGGGTGGGGGGCTGGGGGAGGGATAGCATTAGGAAAAATACCTAATGTAAATGACAAATTGATAGGTGCAGCAAACCAAGATGGCACATATATACCTATGTAACAAACCTGCACATTGTGCGCCTGTACCCTAGAACTTAAAGTATAATAAAAAAAAGAAAAAAATTAGTTTTTTAATGATGCAAATTCTGTATAAAATATATTACAGGCTGGGTGCAGTGGCTCACGCCGGTAATCCCAAGCAGCACTCTGGGAGGCCGAGGTGGATGGATTGCTTGAACTCAGGAGTTTGAGACCAGCCTGTGCAACATGGCAAAACTCTGTCTCTACAAATAAATACAAAAAATTAGCTAGGTGTGGTGGTGCACGCCTGTGGTCCCAGCTACTCAGGAAACTGAGGCTAGAGGATCACTTGTGTCTGGGAGGTCAAGGCTGCAGTGAGCCAAGATTGCACCTCTGCACTCCAGCCTGGCCAGCAGAGTAAGACTCTGTTTCAAAAAAATAAAAAATGAAAATAATAAAAAAAAAGAGACCTGTAATGCCAGGCACTGTCATTTTCTTGTAGAATAGGGCATTCCATCAGAAGTTATCTAATAGTTGGAGCCTCATACTCCTGATTATTCCATAAGCCAATGACTAATATTTCACAATGATAATGTCTTTTTACTGGATTCCCAAAAACATATTACCACATTTTGATAATTTAAAGATTCACACTTAAAAAATGTTTTCATTCGTTTTCTTTTTGATACGGTTTGGCTGTGTCCCCACCCAGATCTCATCTTGAATTCCCACATGTTGTGGGAAGGACCTGGTGGGAGGTAATTGAATCCTGGGGTCAGGTCTTTTCCATGCTGTTCTTGTGATAGTGAATAAGTCTCGCGAGATCTGATGGTTTTAAAAAGAGGAATTTCCCTGCACAAGCTCTCTTCTCTCGTCTGCTGCCACGTGAGACATGCCTTTCACCTTGAGCCATGATTGTGAGGCTTCCCCAACCACGTGGAATTGTAAGTCCATTAAGCCTCTTTCTTTTGCAAATTGCCCAGTCTTGGGTATGTCTTTATCAGCAGTGTGAAAACAGACTAATAACACTTTTTGTGATAGATTAAATTTTCCATGTACTAAGAAGACATAAAAAAGAATAGTGCAAATTGTAAGGAAATTTAAAATATAAGTTAACCAATGTGATGAAAATAAACAGAAGCCTAGATCTCCCCATAGAAGAAGGTGCTTTGGGATTGCTGGTTTCTGTAGTCTTCTTTTACCAGCAGGATGGAGACAGGGTCCCTGATGAGAATGGGGTGATTGCTAAGGGTGTTGGTATGGTGAGAATTCAGGGTGAGGCTGCTGACCAGGGTACTGAGAGGGGAAATTCTGAGAAGTGCAGCTGCCTGCCCATTCCGGTGAAGAGTGAAGATGGACAGAGCTTTGCACTGACCCTGTTGCTCTTCCCGCTGGGGTGGCCAGTGTGGAATCCAATGAGCTACTAACAAGGACAGTTACCTTTGCAGATAAAACAACAGTAATTTAGAGGAGAATTGCAATTTACTGGGATTCACTAAAAGACTACCCACGAGTGAACACTACTTGCTATTTTATATTTGTCCAATCAAATTTAAAAGATGTTTATTAGCTCATGCCTTTCTACGGTAATGCATCATCTTTCATGGGATTGTAGAGAAGCTCAGTGCAATAATTTCTCTGGTTCAATTCCTTTGCTACATATAATTAATCTGCATTGATAACTATGGTATTTTGGGGATGTATCATTTGGGAATTGCATTCTCAAATACCTTTATTGTGATGCTAAAGAGTCCCAAATCATAGTATATTAAACCAGATATATATATTTCCTTTCATATAACAAGAGAGTTGAAAGGAGGTAGTGCAGAGATGAAATGAAAGTCCATAGCCCTACCACGGTCTTAGCGGGTTCTTTCCTTCTGTTTTACCATCATTAGCATATGGTTCCCTGATGGTTGTTTCAGAATAGAACGATGGCTGCTACAACAACCAGCCATAGCATCCATTTCATAAGCAGAAAGAATGAGCAAGGGAGAAAATATTCCTACTAGTTCAGCAGGCCCCCTTTAGATAACTCTCTTAGATGACCCAGACAAAGACTTCCTCTTCCATCTTATTACCCAGCATGATCTTCTAGAGAGGTGGGGAAATGTAGTTGTACCTGCCCTCAACAACATAAGGATCCTGTTAGTAAAAAGGAAGGGTAATATGAATATCGGGTAGGCAAGTGGTAGACTCTGGCTACCACTGTGCGGCATTTTAGTGAATGAAAGATGACGATGTGGCATGTATATTCTTAGAAAGGCCATGTAAGATGATGTTATCTATGGGTCAAATGAATTTCCCTTCAGGTGACCAAGGTATTTACACACATTCCTTGCAGGCATTAAAAAGAAAAAAGGAAGGAGGGCAGGGAGAAAGCCACTGCCACAGTTGTGGCCGAGTGAAAGGTGAACACCTAGGTGTGGTAGTTCCAGTATGGCAGATGGAATTGTTCACTCTTTCAGTGCCCCCTTGTGCCCAATATACTGTAACAGGATAATACAGGGAAACAGTCAAGAAAGAAACTTTTTGAAAACTCCATTCATTAAAGCTACAGTATAGCAATGTGTGGTTTTAGCTACTAGAAATGCAAAAAAATAAAAAATACCTATACAGTATATAACTTCATGATGCTGGGACAAGACGTCACAATGTTAAGGCATATCTTTCTTGTGCTAAGTAGTTCTCTTGTCAAAAAATATGTTTTCCATTTAAATTTGGAGTTGTTGGGCTTTTTTCCTCCCTTATATTTATGTATGGTCTGATTTTTTTTTTTTGTATTGGCTGGTTCTTCATTAATCTACCAAGCTAACTGTATTTATATGTAAACTCAAGCCTGATGCAAGGGTCTTTTGTTTCTTTGTTTTATTTTATTTTTAAATAACTGTCTGAAAAGCAGTGGAATATGGGTTGCAAAATTTACCAGCAGCACTATCATCCAACAATCAGTTTAAAAAGGTGAAGCAAAAATAAGGCTGCTCACACCCCTGTTATGGGTAGGCACTCATTGAACATTGTGTGTGCCCTGTAGACCTGCATTCTCCAGTGGTCCCAGTCCGGTTCCACAGAATCAACTTTTAGAACTGTAATCATCAATACAGACCAACTTACTCAACTCCCTCTTTCACAGATAAAGAAGCTGAAGTCACGAAGGAAAAACAAATCCTGTCACAGTCTCATGGGACGGGGTAGGAACTAGAACCAACGACTCATCCAGAGTTCATATTAACTCCGAACTGTTGCCACCATTTACAGAGACTCATAGGAGAAGCCGCTTGCTCTACAGTGTGAGGATTGCAAGCTGTGCTAGGATTCAAGCTCAGAGTCCCTGAGCCTTTGTCTCCTGTTCTTTCCTGTGTGCTTATGTGGTCAGTCCACTTTCCTTCTCCGACATGAAGGCTTGGCCCATTCCAAGTCTCCTTTGGAAGAAAATGGGTAAACTATGAATGCCATTGTTTAACACTGTCAATTGGAATATTAAAATGTTTCTTTCATTAGAAATAAACTTTTGTCAATTTAAACAGTGGAAGAGTAATTCATCACAGGGGAAGAGGAATGAGAACCTTTGGAATTTATTTTCAATAAAAGATCCTGCTAGTAGAAGAAAACTCCTGAAACCCTGGTTTTACTGATGCCCATTAACATGTATACTTGAAGCAAGAGTATGAAGCTCTTAAAATCTGCCCTTTCAAAAACTTTAAAAAGTTATGTAGGGAGTTATAAGTACATAAGATGAAAATGAACACCTTCTCTTAGTAAATGTATTTTAGGAGCATAGAGAAATTGTAAAGAGAAAGGTGAGAGTAATAGAACTTCACCTGGTAATTTTCTGGGGTAAAAGAAAAGGGGATAAAGGTCCCGGGGCTATATTACTAAAGAACAAATGAGAAAGAAGGGCAACACACTGTTAAATAATGTATGCAACATTCTGCCCTGAAATTCTTATTTTGAGTAAGATCCTTTACCCTCCCTGACAATATGATCATATTGAACAGTTGGATTAAAAAAAAAATTGTGGTTTTGTTCAGTAAAAACCTAAATACCAGGGGAGTATCTGCTGTCTTTATACCCATATAATTAGGTGGAATGTGGAAAAATCCAATCAAGCTGTGTCTGACTGTATATCTAATCTGATTGGCTTTCAACTGGATCATAGAGGAGATAAATGGCATTTCTACAACACAGCCATTCAGTCACTTTGTTATGAACTTTTTCCTTACCTTAAATTCATCCATAAATGCCATTTAAACTCTGGTCCCAAAGGTAGTGAGGCGGTGAGTAGAAAATAGAATCTTAACACCCACTTCCTCTGTTCAGTTATGTCTTTGCTCCTTCAAGTATGGTCTGCAGGCTGGTCATCACCTGGGAGCTTGTTTGAAATGCAACTCTCAGGCCCTCACTCTGACTTGTGCAACCAGAATCAACATTTTCAAAATATCTTTGGGTAAACTGTATGCACATTAAAGTTTAAGAAGCTGTCAGTCATCTATATAACTTCTATTCACATGGAAATTCTGATTATGAACCTGCTGCTTAAATCTAAGATATTCTTCACATGACTTATACACCTATTCTGGAAAATATCTGAAAGTACCCGGGAATAAAATGCATGAGACTATCTGTGTATATATAGCTTTCTATGTTTCTGGTTGACTTTTCTTTTTTTTACTATTTTATGGCAATAAATATTTTATTGAAGCAGCTTGGGTTTTTTTTTTTTTTTTTGATTGGTTAACTGACTTATTCATCCCACAAATCTTTATTAAACACTTCATGTGCCAGTAAATAAAAAAAGATGATGAAGCCATGCCGATCTCCTCAAGAAAATCAGACTCTGGCAAGGGGAGCAAAATTAAGGTTTCAAGGAGCTCAGATATTCACAACCTCAAGCAGGTCACAGACACCCTTGCTATCATGATGAAAGCTAAACAAAACTTTTCTAGGAAAAAGTCCACAATTTCAAGGAATTCATGGTACCACTGGAGACCCTTTGTAGAACTCCTCAAGTAGGTTTTCCTAATCTTGTGCTCACCAGTCACAGTGTCTGGGATTCATGATTTCTTTCTTTTTTGAGACAGGGTCTCTGTCGCCCAGGCTGGAGTGTAGTGGCACAATCTCCACTCACTGTAACCTCCGCCTCCCGGGTTTAAGTGATTCTCGTGCCTCAGCCTCCCAAGTAGCTGGGATTACAGGCGTGCACCACCGTGCCCAGCTAAATTTTTATTTTTTTATTTTTTGGTAGAGATGGGATTTCACCATGTTGGCCAGGCTCATCTTGAACTCCTGATCTCAAGTGATCCTCCCACCTCAGCCTCCCAAAGTGCTGGGATTACAGGTGTGAGCAACTGCACCCAGCCTATGATTCTTAGAGGTATTTTAAATCTCCTGAAATTGTACATAAAATTCCATTTTTATGTGCTGTTTTCTGGGAGGAGAAACCATAATTTGAATCTGGTACCAATGAAATTCACTCCCCAAAAGGAGATCTGGCAGGTGATAATGATTTTGAAGGTTTACATAGGCTTTTTTGCTACTTAGAAAAGTCTTTACATGTGTCATCCTTAGTGACTCAAGAGTGGGTTAACTGGAGATTGGGCGGGAAGGGGGTAGAGTCTAAAGAAAACAGAAGTGAATTGGTTTAGCTCTCCACTCAAATCACCTTTCTTTACCTGTTGAGCAGACACACCCTTGTGTGTTCTGACTCCTAAACTTAGTCTTCTCTGGGCATCACCAATCGACCCCATCATCCCAGGAGGCCAGTTGGGTCCTCAAGAAGCAGCCTCCCAGGTTTCCTCTAGAAGACAAGCCAAGTAGATCCTCTTTAAGGACCTTCATGACCAAGGACCTTCTTGAAAGAAAAAAGAAAGGGAGTATGAAGGGAGAGAGGGAAGGAAGGAGATGCATTGCCATGACCTTGTCTTTCATGATAGTACTAAAAAAAATTGTTTTGAAAAAGTTTGCTGAAAATGCAGCCAAGATGTGGGCAAGCCTTTTCTTTGGGCAGAATGAATTTTAAAATGATTTAAAGTTTATTTTAATGAGGTTATTTAAATAAAGAGTCTTAGCTTGACAAAGGATGCTCTGTTAATAAAGCTTCAGTTCTATTTCATAGTGTTAGTATTTTAAAATATAGCTCTCTGTATTCTTTTTCTTGAATAATCTTGGTTGTCTTTACAAATACTAGCAATTTTAGTGCTTTCTTTGTAATATTTTGTGCTTTAAAATATGTGTCTTTGGTCAGGCGTGGTGCCTCATGCTGTAATCCTAGCACTTTGCGAGGCCAAGGTGGGAGGATCGCCTGAGGCCAGGAGTTCAAGATTAGGCTGAGCAACATAGACAGATCCCATCTCTACAAAAAAAATAAAAATAAAAAATTAGCTGGGTTCAGTGGCATATACCCGTAAACCTAGCTACTCAGGAGGCGGAGGCAGAAGGATTGTTTGAGCCCAGAAGTTCAAGGCTGCAGTAAGCCATGATTGCACCACTACACTTCAGCTGGAGCAACAGAGCAAGACCCTGTCTCAAATAAATAAGTAAAAATGAAATATCTATTTTTCTTTTGGTCTTTAAGGGTAAGATACATAAAGCAGGCAATGTGCTAAAATGTACTTCTTTTTCTCTTTAATGCTAACTTTTGACCTGTAATCTCAGTCACATATACAGAACTAGATTTGACAACCAGGGAACATTCTAGGTTAGTAAAAGTTGGCATGCAACTTCTTTGAAACTGAGTTACTTGTTAGATGATGAAAACTTAGAAAAACTCTTTTTCTTTTCTTTTGGGTAGAGCTTTTTGTAGATTGTTTTACAATGTACATGATGGTTTCTTATTTTTTAAAGCTGGGCTTCATGTATGAATTATCATTTTAATTTATCTAATAGTAACAATTTACTCTAATTGAATCTTTTAATTGAGAAATACCAGGGTATTTTACAGGCATTAATTAATGCTTCCTACTTCCCTGTGCGGTAGGTAAATGTTAACCTTGTTTTATAGGTGGAGAACTTAAAGGACACAGTTAAGTGTTCTGGGGCCACCCAGAAACTCAGCGGGTGGAAGGCCTAGACAACCCATTTTGGTTCTGGACCGATGCTCATTCCCTTGGTTCTCGAGCTAGAATCCAGCCTTTGCTCTGATTTATGTGGAATAAGAGAACAAGGAAAAAACATGGAGATCTCTTAACTTTTATTCTTTTGCTTTATAAATGAGGACACTGAGTCAGAGAGCAGTGACGTGAATTCACTATCCATGATAAAGTTACTCATTTGTTTACTCATTGAACAAATATTCATGTAGTACCTGTTGCATGGTGTGCATGCTTCTTAAATTCTGTAAACACATTGAACAAAACAAGCGAAGTCCTTGTTCTTAAGGAGCTTATGTGACAATGGGAGGAAGACAACAGTCAATAAACAAATAGAAAAATAACTGATACTGAATCAGGTTGTAGTGTTAGTCCGTTTTGCATTGCTATAAAGGAATACCTGAGGCTGGGAGATTTATAATGAGAAGAAGTTTATTTGGCTCATGGTTCTGCAGGTTATACAGGAAGCATGGTGCCAGCATCTGCTTCTGGTGAGCTCAGCAAACTTTCAGTCGTAGTGGAAGGCAAAGCAGGACCAGACAACTCATGGCAAGAGAGGGAGCACAAGAGAGGGGATGAGGTACCAGGATGCTTTTTAGTGATCAGATCTCATTGTAACGAACAGAGTGAGTAACCCTCGATTACTGTGGGAGGGGCACCAAGCTACTTATGAGGGATCTTCCCCGATAAGCCAAACACCTCCCAGCAGGCCCCACCTCTAACTGTGGGGAGTCACGTTTTCACGTTAGGTTTAGTGGGAACAAATATTGAAACTGTATCAGTTGTAATAAGTGTTTTTTTGGAAAAAAAAAAAAAAGCCAAAATTAAAAGGCTGCAGAGGAGGTGCTATGTGTGTAGGGGTGGAGCTGTTGCTGTTTTATATATGATGTGCAACAGAAGTCTCATCTGTAATATCATGTTTCTGTAGAGACATAACATGATGTACAAGTCATGCAGGTAGCTGGAGAAAGTTTTTCAAGCAGAGGAATCAGCATGTGCAAAAGGCCTGAGGTAGGAGAATACTTGACTTCTTTGAAAAACAGAAAGGAGGCTAATTTATCCAAGAGAAGCAAGCAGGTGGAAGAGTCATAAGCAATGAGATCAGAGTAAAAAGGGGGGCAATAGTTTAGAGAACTTTGTAAGCCATTGTAAGGACTTCAGCTTTAACCCTGACATGTGAAATCCTGAGAAGATCAGGGCAGAGGAGTGATGTAATCTGACTTACATTGTAGAGGGCTTACCCTGACTATTAGGGGGAGACAAGTCCGGGGTGTGTAGAGGAAGTGTGCAAATAGGGAGACCAGTTGAATGTGCAAGACACTATACGGAAATTGAATATTGATCAAGACTGGTGGTAAGGAATAGGAAAAGCTGTCATAAAGCTGAATAACCAACCATTGCATTAAATTCCAACTTCAAGGCACAGGCCCTTCTTGTCATGCCAGGTAGTCAGTAAGTTTCAGAAGGTTTAAAAATACTCCTCCTGGGTGAATAATAGTAAAGGCATCTAAATTTTCTTCAATGAGTGCTCTGCAAGGTACAGCTGTCAAAAGATAACCAAGGGGCAAGTTGTACCTTAGGCATGGATGCCATGGTCACTAAGATGAGCAGCTTTCTAAGATCCTGCCTCTACAAGTCAAGAATAAAAGGAAGTAAAGGAGTTGCTGATGGGTTGAATATTCCTGCTTTAGCAAGAACATTATAGGCTGCAGTAATTCTGCTTGTTCTTTGTCATCAGGTATTTGTACTAATTAGGAATACTTTCAGCTGTGTGTAACAGAAGACTCTGACCAATGGTCTTAAGTGATTAACATATGTAATTATTTTACATGCCAAGGAGTCTAGAGGTTGGTGGAAGAGGATTTGGTGTAGTGGCTCAAAGATAAAAGTCCTGAGCTCTTTATATTTTCCAGTTTAACTATTCTTAGTATGTTGGTTTTTCATCATCATGCTGCTTATTTCATAGTCACAAGATGGCTGCTGCAGCTCCAGGCATTACTTCTTCATAGTAGAGTCACATTCAGAAAGGCAGTGGGAGGGGCAAGACACACTCTCCTCATTAGACTTGCTATTTTTTTTCCCTTGGAAGAACAGCCCCTAACAGACAACCTCTCACCTCTCACTGGTCAGTAGAGGACTTCAGGAGATTTCTAGATCCTTTTGCTTTGTTGACAAAGAGCAAAGGATTACCTTGCCTGTTATATAGAGCAATCATGAATCATCTCCTGTGGCTAAGAGGAGGCCACATTCCCCAAGATCAAGGTCTCTTTACCTGCTCTTGGACACATCAGGATTCTATTAGCAGGTATGAAGTACACTTGTGTTTGTGGTGAAGGGTAGAGGGAATGGGGCAGAAATGACAATTGGGTATGGTAGTGGCTGAGTGAATACTTTTGAGGGGATAGTTTGGGCTCGTTCTTCTAGACTTCATATTTAAGCTGTGACCTAAATCTTTCAAAGGAAAATGAACACAATCTGGTTTGCTGGAGGAACAGAAGTATACCCACAGTGTTGGCAGTGAGGGAACATGAGGTTGACAGCTGGGCAGGAACCAGATTAAGAGATTGGATCTTATTTTAAGTGCAATGGGGAGCCATTGTAGGTTTTAAGTACAAGAATAATTTATGTTTTAAAAAAGATAGTTCTGGCTGCTGAGTGGTTAATAGATGGCAAGGAGAGAAGCAGAAAGATGGAATAGAAGGCAATTTCAGGTATCCAGGCAATAGAGGGTGAAGACTGGAGCTATGATTCTATGATAGCTAACTTCCATATTTGCCCTCAGTGATTCTCTCCTTTTGGTATTTACACCCTTTGGAAGTCTTCTGCATTTTACCAGGGTTAGTCTCAATGTAACCAATAGAGTACAGCAGAAGTGATGGTCTGCTGCTTCTGAGACTAGGTTATAAAGGCTATGACTTCCATCTTGGTCTCTCTCTTTCTTGGATCTCTTGCTCTGAAAGAAACAAGCTCCTAAGTTTTGAGCTACCTTAAGGAGAGGCCTGTGTGGCAAGGATCAACAGCCAGCAAGAAATGGAGGCCTGCCAACAGCTACACAAGTGGCCCCAGAAGTAGACCCTTTTTTCAATAGAGATGACAGTTGGCAATTGGCTATGATTCCAAAATTATGGGGATAAATTAGGAATGGAGAAATGGATTTAATAATCACTAGGGCCAGGTGTAGAGGCTCATGCCTGTAATCGTAGCACTTTTGGCATCCAAGTGAGGCAGATTGCTTGAGGCTAGGAGTTCAAGGCCAGCCTGGAAAGTATTGCAACACCCTGTCTCTACAAAAAATAAAAATAAAAATAAATAGGTGTGGTGGCAACTGCTTGTTGTCCTAATTACTAGGGAGGCTGAGGTGGAAGAATTGCTTCAGCCCGGAAGTTCGGGGCTGCAGTGAGCTGTGATCGCACCACTACACTCTACCCTGGGCTACAAAGTCAGACTCTGCTTCTAAAATAAAAAAAGAGAGAGAGAGAGAATATCTCAAATATAGGTAGCATTTAAAGCTGTGGAACTGGATGGGATAACCTAAATAAAATTTATTGAGAAGAGACAAGACCCAGGGCATGAATGAATGAAATGAATGAATGAAATATGAATATCTACATTAAAACACAATTCCCTTTAAAAATTAGAACACATAATGGGAATACATATAGGTGTTAAGTTGTCCATACTGGGAATATTCAATACTGGACATTACTACTGAAGAAAATTTCTTAAACTTCTTTATGATGTGACATTTATACACTGAGAGTGTGTGTTAAGGTTGCTGTGGGGACTTTAACTCTTGAACTTCCTGATACTTGGTGTATTTTCATTTTAAACCTTCCTATTCTATCACAATAAATTTACAAGTTAAACATGTATAGCTATGCACCGTGGCTTTGAATGTGTCTGAATTTCCAAGGAAACATGCACTATGGTATTGGCTATTTATGAGTGTGGAGAAATCTAAGGAAACGTATTTTCATTTCTTATTCCTCAGCAAATTACAGCTCGACATGGGCCTTTAAAAAATAGACTTGCTTTACTTCAAACAACTTGCTTACCTTGAGGTTTTCTGGGAACGTAGGGCTGTATACTTCTGAGAGCTCTTTCATAAATGATGGGATGTGCTGCAACCTCTCAGCTCCAGGCACCTTGAAACAGGCAGGGGGGTTTCTCTTTTGCCTTCCGTGTTTGCTTAAGGGAAACTAAAAGCAATCTTCTATTTGAGGTCAAGTTCTATTACACTGAAAACATTTAGTCTTCAACATACACGATTAAGATAGCACATCTGTAGTGGTCACGAGGATACATGCCCAACTTGCCCCATAGAAAGATAGTAAAGGAATCTCTTGTGTTGGTGGAATAATAGGACTGAAACATATTGAACTTCTTGAAGGGAAAGTATAAGTAGCATCCTCTTCTTTTGCTTTCTGGACACATATTTTCCCATCTCCAGAAAGACTGAGTCCCCAGGGAATAAAGACTATTGATGTGGCCTTAAGTTTGCAATTTGTGCTTCCCATAAAAATTCCTCCCCCAACTATGTATGTATGTCAATCATGATATGTCACCAGCAGGTGGCAACAGCGAGTGCAATAGAATGGAAAACCCCAGGTCAGAATCTCTGCAGATCACTAGGAAGGGTAGCATGCCAGTGTACACAGTGTATGCAGAAGGGAAATGACTGCTATTTATTTTTTTTTAAGTGCTTTACCACTCTGTCCTACCTCTCCAAGAGTCCATTTTCTTTCTTCCACAAAAATTGATTTAGACCAGAGGTCAATACTCTTATTAATCAGAGGGAGGTCCTTTTAATAGCCTGTAGGTCTTTTCCTCTACATCAGGGACAGGGAGGTTTGCCCTTGTTTGTTAAAGAGTTCTCATTTTCTGACTTGCCTGCCCCTATGGGCCTCTTAAAGCAACTCTGAAAACAAGTGGCAAAGAATAATTTTTTACTAGAAGACTTAGCAAGAGCCAACTAATTTGACCCATTAAGTGGGCTATCAGAAAGCTAGGAGGAGATGACAGGGGTTGTTTGCCAATATGAAAGAAAGAGAGATATCACTGTTTTTTTTTTCTTTTTTTTTCTTTGTTTGTTTGTTTGTTTGTTTTTTTGTTAAGCTGGCAGCTGCTGTAGTCGGATTCACTGGCATTGACTGCCACCTGGTTGGGGAGGAGTCCTATATCTTTGCAGATTCCATCTCAGAGATGAGACATTGTCCCCCTGTAATTGCCTTTGTGTAATTTCAGGACTAGCATCATGATAGATACTATATGGCAGAGCAGGCATGCTTGGGCTTGTCACATGTACAATGAGGGACTAGAGCTGTCTTTCAGGTCCAAGGAGCAAGGTTATTTGAGGAAAGCTCAGCTGGGAGTGAGTGTTCTTGAGGAAACATCTGCTCCATAGGGATGTAGACCCTTAGAAGAACATCCTTTGCAGGTTGTGCATGAGACAAGCCATAAATTAGTAGGATGAGCTCCCCCTGTAGTCTACTCTGAGTACAGAACTACCTTACAGACAATTCAGTTAGGCCTCAGACATCACAGTGCACCAAGGCAAATAAATCCACAAGTGGGAGGATATGCTTACAGGCACAGCCTTAGTGGGGGAACTGTGAAAATTATCCCTTCATGTTTCTCTGAAAGCAAGTGTATGAGCATTTTATGGAAACCTAGTGCCTCCCATCCCACTTGGAATCTGAATTGCTTGCAGTTTCCTGAGATGCCACTCCAGCCATCCATGAGGCCTGTTCTCACTTCACACATACTCTAAGACAAACGACTTGTCATATTATTGAGAAGATGGGAAACTATTTATATTACCACCTAAAGAAAGCGCATTATAAGAAATCAGGCTATGACTTTGGTTTTGCCGATAGCTGACATTTCAAATTCGGGCAAGTCACAAAAATTTCATTTCCACTTACTTATGTTAAGTAGGGTAATGATCCCGCCTTGGAGACCCTATAGAATATTTGATGATAATAATAATAATAACTAAATGATTATCGCTTATTCATGTGCTGATTTCCAGCCTGATAGTCAGGCTCTTCACCCATCTATTTCAGAGAAAAGCCAATATCCTACCACCATCTCCAGGGCCCTATATCATCTGACCCCTTTACTTCTGACCTTGTTTCCTCCTGTTCTCCTTTTATTCATTCAAACTAAGAAACTAGCTTTCTTGTTATGTCTTGAATACACTAGGGTCTTTGCATTGCCTATGTGCTCTTCCTGGACTGCTCGTTCTCCAAATATGCAGACGATAGAATTTCTTACCATCTTTCCATCTTTGTTCAAATGCTGCCTTCTTAATTAAGTCTACCTGGCCCACACATTTTACAGTTCGAACCTGTCCCCAACCAGACTCCTAACCTCTTCATTTTCCACATTCAAAAGCACTTACCTGTTAATTATGATTATTGTTTACTGTCTGTCTCCTCCAATTAGAATATAAATTCTTTAAGTACTGGAATTTTTGTTTCGTTGGTTTGTTTTCAATGGAGTATCCAAATACCTTGAAGTGCTTAACATACAAAGGGATTTGATTAATATTTGGCAAATGAATGACAACACAGCCGTCCTGTTAGGTACACACACAAAAACACACATGTATACATATATTCACACACTCCCACTCTCACATACACTTGTATACAGAATTTAGATTTATTTTATAACTTGATGAGGTTGATTAATAACCCATTCTGTGCTCCTATTACAAAAGTAGCACAATTAGAAATATTTGAATATGTCTTCAGGTGAGTCTGTTAATTTTCTTTTGAATAATTTTAATCAAAAAATATGTTTATATTACAGAAGAAATACACCCTCCTTAGGCATTTTAAGAGAAAATGCAGTTTTATTGTTTTCAGTGATGTATAATATAAAGTAATAGTAAGGGGGCTACTGAGACACTGCAGATAAACACCCTGCTAGAGCTAGTTGAATGGATAGATAAGACTCATTTACAATTAACACACTGTTTGTATGCATTTGGGTTGTTGTAAATGTGTTTGAAAACAATTTGTTCTCAAGTAAATTGAAACACCGGCTACATTCATTCTTGTTTACATTAATTTTATTGATCTATTTTCTATAGATAATGGGAAAATAAACTGTAGCGACATAGACAAAGCTGTGTTTGAATTGTCACAAATTACAAATCACAAGGAATCTTAACTGATGAGTTTCTTCCTTGAAAATGTGTTACTCCACAATGTAAACATCAGGTGCTTTGATTGCTTTTGGCTTACTCATATTCATGCTTCTTTATCCAGGATCCTTCCAAATAAAGCATCCAGAAAATGTTTGAGTCACAAAAATATGGGCTTTGTATTGTTTACAAAGGAATATTGGTGGTAGAGAGGAGGGATGGATTTCAGTTCTACTTCACTCACCTCACATTTGGTTTAGCGTGTCCTATTTTTGGGCTATCATTACATGAAGGAAGCCTACCAACTTTTGCCAGGCACTTTGCATCTTCCCTTGTTTTGAGTGAGAAGCTCTAGATTCTTCCCCATGTCTTCTACCACAGCTTTAAGATGGCTATTTGGCTTTGACTGAACACTCCAGCGGAGTCTTATCATTTTCCCAAACAGAGCATTACATGATTGTGTAGTTGTAGATGTTAGAAAGTTCTTCCTCACATATAGCTAAAATTTGACTCTTGGGAGGCAGCCTTTGTAGCTAGCTGTAGATCTACCTAGTAATGGAATAAGAGGCTATCTACCTCTTCCTTCCCCCGCATGTCAAGATCCTTTCTCAAGAAAGCTAAGAGTGGCATTGCTTCTCAGCTTTTTCTTCTCCAGATTAATAAAACTATTTCTTAACTGTTTTTTAAGAAAGTGAGCATTTATAGGCACACACACACAATAGTTTATATCCCCATTTTTTAGAGGTTAACTGCTTTCCTAGATGTGATCTTGTGCTTTTTGCCGCTTGGAAGAAATATTTAATTGATAAGAGAGTAAAAGGAAAAATAATTTGCTCTGCAGCGGCTTTTGACTGGATAACTTCTGAGGAACATATATTGTCTGAAAAAGAAGGCACAAAATTATTTCATGGTGAAGTCTACATAGGGTACACTGGCAATAACTGTTTACCTCTTTCAGGCCAGATTTAGATGTTCTTACTGACATCGTTGGTCCTCAAAACATCCCTGAGATTGAGCCTTACTTCTATTATTCCAGGAAGGATAATACCAATATACAGATTGACTAACAAACTGTCCACATATTAGACAAATCTAGCCAAAAATCAAGTCCAACTCTTTGGTCATAGATGAACACTTGTGAAGGAGGGTAAGTGAAATGCACACACCTACCCATGAAAATGGCATTACTAGAAGTAATGACAATTTGAAGCCATAATCGTGATGCTTTAGCACTTTCTACTTGATCAAAAATAAGGAGATGTGGGCCAGGTATGGTGGCTTACACCTATAATCCCAGCACTTTGGGAGGCCGAGGCTGGTGGATGACTTGAGGCCAGGAGTTCGAGACCAGTCTGGCCAACCTGGTGAAATCATCTCTACTAAAAATACAAAAATTACGTGGGTATGGCGGCACGCGCCTGTAGTTCCAGCTACTGAGGTGGCTGAGGCGCGAAAATTGATTGGGCCCAGGAGGTCCAGGCTACAGTGAGCCAAGATGGCGCCACTGCAATCCAGCCTGGGGAACAGAGAGTGACTCAGGGAAAAAAAACGAACAAACAAAAAACCAAGGAGATGTGGAGAGAGTTTGCCATCTTTGGCAAAAAGTGAAGATCACTAATTTGGTGATCTTAATTTGATCTCTAAATGTTGTTTTGCTTTGAAAAATAGCTGAACACATAGCAATGTTCAGTTTAAAAATCATAATTAATGAAATTATGTATCTTTTCTCAGACCCAGATCACAGAATCACTGGGAGGAGATTAAATATTGGGATAGAGCAGAGTAAAAAGAACCATGAAGGAAAATCATCTTTAACTTGAAACTAAATTTGGTAACATCTAATATCAAACGGGATTCTTATAGCATGTGGAATTGTTTAGTCACTACCATAATCATTTCAAAACCAGATTTTCTGCTTTACTGCTATAGTAGTTCTTGCCTAGCAAATGAGGAGCAGGTCTTGAGTTTCTGGAAACATTCATGCTATTTTATAGAACTTCTCACGGACACCTGGAGGGAATGGGATTGTAAATTAATGGTTTACATAGCTGTCACCTGAATTCCTAGAATTGGAACATTTTGACTTCCTTGATGAGCTCAGACTTTTGCTTCATGTCACTTATGAACATATTTCCAAAATTTGGAAAATAAATGAGTTTAGTTTCAAAGTTTATAAATTTTTTTTGTGAATTTAGAGAGAGAATTAAAGTGGTGGAATACGGTTACAAAGTAATGTTATTAGCTATAATTAATCAGCACGGACAAGTATTGTGTCCTAGGATAAAATTTTAATTTGCAAGGTCTCAATTAAGAGTGAATAGAAGCTGTCAGTGAATTTATATATAATTTTGTAAATTCAGTAGATAGCAACCTATGACATTATGCAGATGACTGTTTTGCATATTTATTAACTTTTTTCATATTTTCCTTATTGGGAATCAAGAAATTTGTGCATATTAAAGTTACAGAGTGTGCCACATTATGACAAAGACTGTGACCTCTTTAAGAAATGTTTCCCGGTCGGGTGCATGGCTCACACCTGTAATCCTAGCACTTTGGGAGGCTGAGGTGGGCGGATCACCTGAGGTCAGGTGTTCGAGACCAGCCTGGCCAACATGGCAAAACCCTGTCTCTACTAAAAATACAAAAATTAGCCAGGCGTGGTGGTGCATGCCTGTAATACCAGTTACTCAGGAGGCTGAGGCAGGAGAATCACTGAAACCCAGGAGGCGGAGGTTGTAGTGAGCTGAGATTGTACCACTGCACTCCAGCCTCGGCGACAGAGTGAGCCTCCATCTGAAAAAAAAAAGAAAGAAAGAAAGAAAGAAAGAAAGAAAGAAAGAAAGAAAGAAAGAAAGAAAGAAAGAGAGAAAGAAAGAAAGAAAGAAAGAAAATGTTTCCCAGTTTTTCATGGCCTCTGATGATTTGAACAAAGGCACTTGTTAAATAGAAGATGAGATACACATGACACCTTTGCTCAGAAGTCCTCTCATCTCTCTGTGCCAGACAATTTTAAAATAAGATGTGATTTCTTCCCCCTATTCTCAAATAATATATTTGCTATTATGGAAAACATGTTAATTTGTGAAAAGTATTAAAAAAAATCAGCCTGATCCTATTGCTTAAAACTAGCAATGATAGTTAATTAATTAGTTACTTTATTTACTTTTAAGACAGAATCTCATTGTTGCCCAGGCTGGAGTGCAGAGGTGTGATCACAGCTCACAGCAGCCTCAACCTCCTGGGCTCAGGTGATCCTCCCACCTCAGCCTCCTGAGTAACTGAGACTCCAGGCACATGCCATCATGCCTGGCTAATTTTTTGTAGTTTTTGCAGAGACAGTGTTTCACCATGTTGCTCAGGCTGGTCTTGAACTCCTGAACTCAAGTGCTCCACCTGCCTCAGCCTCCCAAAGTGCTAGGATTACAGGGTTGAGTTACTGTGGCCAGCCAACTGTTAATATTTTAATGTTTCTTTCTCATCTTATGTCTACCACTGCATATTATAGTCTATATTACTTTGTGTTTGACTTTTTACTTCATATTATTGTTTTGTATATTATGAGCTTTGCATATTATGAGCTCTTTCTAAATATATTTTGTCATATTCTGACAGGATATTATCAATGGATAACTGATAGCACAAATTACCAAATCTTTCTATAACAACATTGTTTAGAAAAAACATACTTTAGATGTTTTCAGGAAAAACGTGAAACCTAAAATGCAAAGCTTCATTATTATTGATCACTATTACGAAAATATTAGGTGCCTGTGAAATACTTCCTGACTGCTTGATTTCCCAGCACACTGATAACGGTGGTCTAAAACTATTGTTTAGATATTGGGAATAGATTTTTGAAAGCTGGACTTCAGACTGGGAGACTTACTGGAAAATAAAACCACCAAGAAAAAAACTTTGAAATTTACGAAACTTTCTAAAGAAAAGTTATATATTTTAGATTTTCCTAAGTTAATGTTAGGCCTGAAGGCAAGTTGAAAATGATAAATTTTTAAGGACCAATTTTTTATACTATGATGTTAAATGAAATAGAAAATATTCCCAATATCTGTAACACACACATACACTGTAGTTTATAGCTAGAAAGGAAAGATACTATTTTCTAAATAGTCTTTTTGTCTTTTTGATTCTTCTAGGTTCAAAGTTCACACTACAAGATGACAGTCATTTGCATTTCTCTGATTTAAGTTTTTTTGAAGGGGACGGAGGAAAGGGGGAGTTCGTATTAGCACAGTTTTTTAGTCTATTGAAACTTTTCAATACACTGAAAATGTTTGAGCATAATATCCTCACCTTTCAAGATATCACATAACTCTTGCTTATTTAACAGGGAAAAAAAACCCCAAACCCCAAAAAAACCTCTAACCAAACACGAACATGACACTCTTAGATCAAATTGTGCTCCTGGCTATTTCTGAATAAGTCCAAGTAACACATGGTTAGTGGGATATTTTAGTTGCCGAGATGGCATTCTTTTTGTACCCAGGGCTTTGAGACTTTTGGATTTTCAAAATTCACCCTTGTCAACCTAAATAACAAAGAGAGAGGGTCTCTACAAAGGAAGACGTTTATTTGGAAATACAGCATTGTAATGGGAATACACATGTCATAGTGAAGTATATGTGTATTCAGGGAGGTAAAGGCTCTGTTTGTCTGTTTCTTAACATTTGTGATTCTATTTTGATACTGACAGCTTTTACACCCTGATCATCCTATACCCTAGGGTGATATCCTAGAGCTTCAAATGCACTTTTAAATTAAGCAAGGTGATTAAAAATGTAATAACATAATTGAGAGATAGATAAATTCTTCTTTAGATTTGCAGTTCCGAATAAAGACAGTAGTTATGAGTTCCTACTTAAAAATTTTAGGGTTCACATTGTAAAAATCTTAGACCTGGAAGGCTTATCGCTGTCTTGTCCCAACCAATCTTTATTTTCCTAAAGAGTAAAATCTCCATATGTTCCAGTTTGCCTAGGATAGTCCCAATTTACGCCTATTGTCCATGTGTAATTATAACAGCACCTTTTATTACTATCAAGAGTTTCTAGCTTAAAGGATTGGTTATATAATCATCTTACTAATGAGAGAACCAAACCCCAACCCTTGAAGGGGTTGCACAAGCGTATGAACTAGACCAAACTAGTTTATGGTGAAGTGGAGATGCACTCTCTAAACTTCCAAACCAGAGTTTAATTTATTATTAACATTCACGATTTAAGATGAATTGGATGAATGCAAAGCTCGTAAGATTTTTGACCAAACAATGTAGGTACCAGTGGTTCTCAATTTTCAGCTGGCATTTGAATCACCTGGAGGCCTTGTTAAAACAGATTCCTGGGCCCCAACCCAGAGTTTCTTAATTTGAAGATCTAGGGTGGGACTGAGAATTTGCATATCTAACAAGCTCCCAGAGATGCTGACGTGGCTTCTACAGGGAGCTCTCACTTTGAGAACCTCTGTCACAGAATGTTAAGGCAACCTTTCCGTGCTGTAAAGGCAGACAGAGGTGAGAGCATGCCCTTCCGCAGCTGTAAATGTTCGCCTCTTCTTCTCAATATATAACTTATTTGATATGCACCAGAATTTTCTCACAGCAAAAACTAGAGGTGTGAAGTGAAAAATTTGAAATGCAAAATTCACAGAAAAAGGTAGGGTTATGCGGGGTTGGGTTGGTTTTTTTTATTAGGGGGTGCAGGGCCATTCTTTGTGGACAACACAGGGAGGCTACAAAACCAAAAGGAAGAAATAGCTTTTACGTGATGATCTAGAAATTTGCTACTCAAAATATATGAGCCATCAGCATCATCTGGTGATTGCTAGAAATACCGAGATGGGAGACACAAGGCTTCTGTGACAATTTCTTAAATAGATCATGGTTAATTTGCTGCCGTGAATGTGGAAGGAACTGAGTTACTGAGTTAGAGAGAAGACTTAAGGATTACCTTGATATGGAGGAAGCATTAAGAGAGACTGAACTGCAAAAATTCTTTCCCACTGAGATACTAGTTCAGAGATTCTCTGCTTTCAAACCACTATAGAAGTGAGATTAAAGTTTACCATGAATTGATCTGAAATCGTTCTGTGTTCTAAATGCTTAATAAAATCCTGAACCAGAAATCTGGGTATGGAAAACAAAATTTTCTTCTTTTTTCTCCCCTTTCTTTCATTTGGAGAAATAAGTAGCTGGAATAGTAGCTTAAGAAAAACCAGCATCACTGCAAGAAAATGGAGGCAGATGAGTTTAGAATCACAAGGAAAGCACCAGGTAGTTCAGGGAAAAGTTTGTTGCAACAAATGTTTAAGCCTGGGTTAGGGATTGTAGTTGGTTAGAACGAAGTTATATATTGACAAGCAGTACTGAAATCAGATTCACCAGAAGGTTCTAAAAGCAGAGTTAATAAGGAGAATTTCCAGTAGTGTTATTGAAACTACTTGGAATTTTCTAAGAACAGTTAGGTCTGAAAGAGAAGACCACGGCAGTAAATTCTCATTCCCTGCTTTTCTTTAAGGACAACAACAAAATGGGAAGACTATTTTCCTGTCAAATACACATTAAAAACAGAATTTCATGTGAGTCAAATAGAATTACCTTTGCAACTGTAGCAATGGTGAGTCACCATGTAAAATTACTTGTCAACTCTCAAAACTCTGTGGTTGCTATGAATGACATAGCCTTTCCTGGAGACAGTCTCGAAGATATTCAGCCCACAGAGCACCATTTTCCCTCCGCCACTATTCCTTTGTGCACCTGCAGTTTTGAGTCAACAAAAATTGCCAACCCAGGGTGATAAGCTCCATATAAATAATTAATGACATGGAACTAATTACTCCTGTATTAGGCCACCTGCACCCTCAAAGCTCAAGAGCCCCAGGTGTGAAAATTGCAGGGGCAACTAATGGTGAGCTGCATTTCATCACGTAAGCCCTGTAGAGGAGGCCCTGGCTGTTTCCTGCTCACGCTTTTTTCAGGGTTCAGTAAGCAGAGCCCGGGTGGGACTGACTGCTTTTGTAACATCTCAGAAGGCAACCAGACGATGTGGTGACGCTTGAAAATCGAGCTCTTACAGGCCACCAGGAGGTAAGAGGGATTAGGTTTAATTAGAGGAAAATACACCTTGAAGGATATGGTTGGAAATTGTCCCTTGAGGTATGCGAAACCTGCTCCAACAACTCTATGTGAGCGTGCTACATTTAAGAGTTATGGGACTTCCGTTTCATTATTTAAGCAGATTCCCAGGATTTCAGGATTTCAATCTTCAAATATGTGAATTAAATTATATACGTATCTATACATCTGAAATGTATATTATAACACAACATTATAACATTTATATTACTACTTTTTGGTGGGGATCTTTATTTTCCTGGCTTGGTGGTGTGTGTGTGTGATTGATTGATTTGTTGGTTGATTGATTGATATAGACTCTTTCCAAGTGAGATCTTAAAATCTTCTTGGAAGGAAATCTACTGCAAAGTAGTCTACAGTTTATGATGACTTAAACACCAGTAGAAATTCTCAGGCCATCTTGTAGAACATCATTATTAGTTTTGCATTGGCTTTGGAATGAAGAAGAAAAGGAGAAAATATGATTGAAGTTACTACCTCTAGGAACTTCAAGTTCCTTGATTTCGCTGAGTGCAAAGCTCAGTATGGGAGATCCAACTTCTCATTTAGTGACAGCCTCTTATCAGTTATTATTCTTTTGTTATGGTTTGACGGTGAGTTGGGGAAAACAACAATTGGATACTCAATAGCACATTTACAAAATGCTAGAATTAAAGATTCTAAAAGTCCGTGGGGAAAATTCCAGGAGAATTTGTCTAACTATATGTTTTTCTAAAACACACATACTGGTTTACACTAATTAGCCCACAGAATACCTATTTCTATTGTTTTCATCTTGCGAGTTGGAAAGTTTAGGAAAAAACTTTTTTTGCTTTCACCCTCTTCTGTTCCCTTAGCCCCACAATTAAGCTTAAATTACATTTTTCTATACTCATCATATTAAAATTTATATCCAAATATATATAGTAGTCTCTAATAATTTTGTTTAATTAATAGACTTTGTTTTTGGAGCAGTTTTAGGTTTACAGAGAAGTAGAGTGGAAAGTAGAGTTCCCATATATCCCTCTTACCACCTGCTCCCCAGTTTCCCTTATTATTAACGTCTTGCATCAGTATGGGACATTTGTTATGGCCAATGAGCCAGTAGAGCCAGTATAGATACATTATTATTAACTAAAGTCCACAGTTTACATTAGGGTTCATTCTGTGTGTCACATATTTTATGGGGTTTGACGAATGTATAATGACATGTATATACCAATACATTACTGTACAGAATAGTCTCACTGCCCCCAAAATTCTACCCCCCCCTTTTTTTTTAACAAAAATGAGATATTTATTACACTTTGATTTTTCTTTCAATTTCTTCAAGTCAACTGACTGGGTTGATCTACCCCATTCCTTTTAACAGCTGTGTAATAGTACATGGTGCAATGATGCCATAGTTGATTTAACATTTCCTCTTGTGGATTAGAATTCATATTATATCCTTGTGCAGATTATGCTTTTACACTCACAGAATTTGACTCCCAGGAGAAGGGCTGCAGAATCAACGGCTATGTGCACTATTACTTTTAATGAGTATTGCCATGTTGCTTTTAAATAAAGCTGCATTAAGTGACATTTCCACCTGTGATATGAAAGTACGTTTTTGCCCCAGTCCTCACCAGGAGCAGGTATTATACACCCACAGTTGAAAACATCTGGTAATTTTTATTTGAGAAGGATGAATAACACAGTAGTTGTATATGTTGGCTCTGAATTGTGATTGGGCTAGAGCTCTAGCACTACCACTTTCTGCTCAGCAACCTTGGGCAATTCATTTCACTTCCAGTACCTCAGTTTCCTCATCTGTAATATATGGATATAATAATCCTATTACATCATAGGGTTGATTGGGTGATTAGACAGGATAATACATAGAACAGGCTGATCCTGTACCTGGCTTAGACTAAGTATTCAGTTAATGATAGCTTTTATTACTAGAATATTATGGATGGATCATGAGATCCTTCGAACAATATCCAGAAATATTGCTTCATTATAATATTCTTGGATAAATTGTGGAATTCTACTAAATTTTGGGGTAATTAGGTGAGATCAAAGCAGATACAAACATTCCCTTAATGTCAAACCACAGAATGTAGTATCCAAAAACAGAAGCCTACCTCTGATCATCATCCCTCTGTAAATGTACAAAAATAATTAACTAAAATTCAGGTTATTAGAGAATCTCACTTTGTATAAGCACAAACCTTTTGTCAGAGTTGAAGCTAACATCTTGGCATACTAAATTTATTCAGGTGTTATTTCTTCCCTCCTTATATTTAAAAACAAAGTCAAAGCTGTTACTATCAAATTATTAAGTGGCCAATTTCTCTTTAGCTCTTATTTTAAATTCTTTGTCAAGGTAGTCTCTGTAGACTGTACCTCAGGGCACATTATAGCATTCCCTGATTCTTCAGGACTAAGACTGTCTCCTCCAACTTTCCCCATATATCATGCTATTTCTGTTCTTCACCTGTAACCTCTGAGGATGGACCAAAAGTTATTCCTTAAATTCCTTAGCAGGAGCTGAGCGCATCCTTGAGAGAAAGAGAGATGAGAGAGAGAGAGAGAGAGAAGGGAGGGAGGGAGAGAGAGAAGGGAGGGAGAGAGAGAGAGGAGGGAGAGAGAGAGAGGAGGGAGAGAGAGAGAGAGGAGGGAGAGAGAGAGGAAGAATAGAGGGCTGGAGGCAGAGAGATTTGGAGGAGGGATGGGTGCCTGGTCTCTACCTTAAAAATGCAATCATTATCCTCCCTGAGCCCCTGCGTGGATGGCACTTCCAACCATGTGAAATGCCCTCTCCTTCCTATGGGAATTTTGTGATAGTTTAGGAAATTGTGAATGGTCTGACAACATGGCTCCCTGTTGCATACTGGGCAACATCTAGTTATGACAGAAAGCTGGTTATATTAGATAAAGGCAGTAAAGAATCTTGAGAACTTTTGCTTGTTTGTCTGGGGGCTTTTGTGCTATCCTGAAGCAGGAACTGTGGAGTACGAACTGTATGATGTCCTAGTAGACATGCCCTGCTATGCTGGCCCTTCTTTCTGATCCAAGAGTCAGGGAATATTGTCTAACAGGAATTTTCAGCAGTTGCTGTAATGCCAAACATTGAAAATTTCAAGACCTTTTTACTCTTTCTATGGGATTTGTGGAAAGGAGTATTCAAAATTGTTATTGACTTAAAAAATCAAAAGTGTAGCTCATGAACACTAAACTTGAAATTACTGTAGTTGTGTATTTTAAAAATAAATTGCAACCAATTTTTATGACTCCATACCAAACAGCAATTTATCTTAGATGTTTTAAATTATTTATTCAGTAACACTCTCTGAATGCCATGCTACATAGAGAATGAATGGAAAATGTCAGAAGACCTGCTCTAACTTCCCTTTAGGATTGCCATGGGAAACGGAAAACACTTACCTGTAATTTCAATATATATGAAGCTCTGAGCATGTAAGCATGACCCTAAGCGAGTGTGAGAGGAAGAAGGAATAACAGAAAGAAGCAGTGACATGTAGCTGAGAGTGGGAGGAATGTTCTAGAGAGCATGAATAGATTGAATTGGACCCCAGATGTTATGGGGCCAGTCTTAATTTCAAATATTCCCTCTTGCTCTTTAATTAAACACATTTGTGAATCAATTAAAAAAAACCAACAACAACCTTGTCGGGCCATGAATTTCTAATCTGGGTTCACAAACATGTTCAGCCAAATTAAAAAAAAAAAAAAAGTGGTGGGCACAGTAACTCTTGAATGGTGGTGGAACTATAATATGGAAGGTCCTGAACAACAGCTTTTTTAAAAAAAGAACCCCCATTCTGGAGTCCACAGGTAATACAATGTTTTGAGTAGGCATAGTTGTAGAATTGCCAGAGATGAGAGGATCTCTAAGACAGTCCGTGGAAAAATGACTTGCCAACATTTATGTAGAAGAGGCAATGAACTGGGAGGACCCAGAGAGGAGCCTGAATTTTAACTTGTTGTGGGCCGATTGAAAAATAATATAATAATTAAATGCTTGACCTGCAGAATGCATGATGTAGTTTAACTCTCATTTCCCCCACTTCCTAAGAGTGCAACTTTAGGAGAGTTTCCTTATCTTTAAAATAGAAATCCTGTTAATACCCAGATTATAGAATTGCCTAAAATAATCTGTGCGACATAAATTTTAGTTATTTATACCATGAAGACAATATTTCAGGAAAGAAAGCCTAAACATTCTCACTTGACTGCCCGTCTATCTTCCCTTTGTCAGACTCAATACATCAGGGGTAGAAATCAAAATTAGCATGAAGGACTGAGCAGGATTTTGCCCCCTTTTCCCATTCCCTCCAGAATGCCATTGATGATTTATGGAAGTTCTAGTAGTGAAAGATTGGAGAGAAAAAAAAAGGAAAAATGGGAATGATAAGGTGAGATATCCTGAACCAAGGCAAAAAATTATTACAAGGAAAAGAAAGTGTAATAGGGGATGGGAAGCTGGCAGAAGGACACTGGATCGTGTGTTTTCACTACACCACTTATTTTGGAAAAGATGTGGAAAATTGCAGAGTTCAAAAATTACTGTCCCAGCTATGATTCACTAAAGAAGTCACTCTTGGCCACATAGACCCTGGCTTTTTTTCAGAGGTCATGTTTACACATAATTTATAAAGTTCTAACATGCCGTTGAAAGTTTCTCTGGCATATTTAGAAATGTCTGGAAGAGCAGTTCTCACCATTTCGCTCTGCCTGCCTTTGATTTCTGCCTATGTTTTAATTCAATAAGTGTTTATTGTGCTTAGGGCAAAGAAGGGCTCCAGTTTTGTGTGCTGTGAACTGCAAAGCTGGAGCCCTCTGGAGAATTCAGTTCCTGCCATGTCTGCCACCTGATTCTCACCTGGCAAGTTTTATTTTTAATTTTTTGAGACAAGGTCTTGCTCTGTTGCCCAGGTTGGAGTGAAGTGGTGCAATCTCAGCTCACTGCAACCTCTCCTGTGCTCAAGCTATCCTCCCACCTCAGCCTCCCAAGTAGCTGCTCACCTTGGCCTCCTAAAGTGATGGGATTACAGATGTGAGCCACTGCATCCAGCCCTGGTAAGTCTTCAATAATGAAGAAATGTCTGTGCTGTGGACTCTGGATGTCTGAGCATTGCTTATCCAGCCCTTCACATTGGTCCTCTTCATTTTCTGGGTCATAAATGGGGAGAAGATTTTACAGATGCTTTGAAGGAAGGTCAGCAGGTCTGG
Organism: Homo sapiens; assembly: GCF_000001405.40. Lineage (NCBI taxonomy): Eukaryota > Metazoa > Chordata > Mammalia > Primates > Hominidae > Homo > Homo sapiens. The sequence goes on from NC_000020.11 coordinate 6,843,946, forward strand.
TGTATGATGAAATCCCATCCCGCCGCTCTTCTTCTCTTGTGATTTGATACCATGGAAGGAAGATGCCTTCTGCAAAGGCACCTGTCTCATTTCTAGGCAGTTCTAGTTGCTAACAGGCTCTTCCTTAAAATCTGGGTCTAATATTTGCTTATTGCTGCTGGATCTCATTAGAATAATTTGATTTCTTTTTTTTTGCATAAAGAGAGATTAATTTGGAGTTTCCATTTCTCTCCTTGGTTGTTTCTTCCTCCTTCTAAACCTACCCAATTCCTTCAACAGTTTCTCGCAAGACAACGTCAACACTGTTTCCTCTTTTCAATATTTGAACATTGTCCTGTCATCAATAAATAGTATAGTATTATAACTAAAGGAATATATATTTACACATATATATACACACACACATATATATATACACACACTTATGTGTATATGTATAATTCTTTTTTTAAAAGAGACAGACAGGGCTGGTCTCAAGCTCCTGCCCTCAAGCAATCCTCCCCCTTGGCCTCCCAAAATGCTGAAATTAGAGGTGTGAGCCACTATGCCTACCCAGGATGATCTTGATAGGTAAACTAGACTTTCACATACATGAGCATGCACTTTCAAAAACTAGTTTCTTTCTGAAAGTCTGTTGACTTGCAGAGGTGATAATTTCAATTGTCTGATCAATTTTCTTATTTTTGAGACAGAGTGTCACTCTATCGCCCAGGCTGGAGTGCAATGGAGCGATCTCGCTCACTGCAACCTCCGCCTCTTGGGTTCAGGCAATTCTCCTGCCTCAGCCACCCAAGTAGCTGGGATTACAGGTGACCGTCACCATGCTCAGCTAATTTTTGTATTTTTAGTAGAGACGGGGTTTCACCATGTTGGCCAGGGTGGTCTCGAATTCCTGACCTCAGGTGTTCGGCCCGCCTCAGCCTCCCAAAGTGCTGGGATTACAGACATGAGCCACCGCGCCTGACTGTCTGATCAATTTTCTAAGGAAAATCCCATGGGCCTGATTTAGAGTTTGCCATTCTGCTTTCCAAAGAGGTTTCTGATGACCAATGCAATTTGAATATGCATTAGATTTTTTCAAAAAGGAGTTTCTGGCTTTGGGGAAAATTATTTAATATTATTAGTTTCTTTGTATCAATATCAAAGTGGGCTCCTTTATTCGTTTATTCATTCACCTGTTCATCAAATGTTTACCGAGTGACTGACACATACTAGGCTAGAAACTGTAAAATGTGAATAATGCTCCTGCTAGTCACCAAAAGCTCCCCTGGCCTCAGTTGGCTCTGTCCTTTCATGGATAAAGCTCCTTCTGCTGTTCAAGCTGCTTTCATCTGTGCTATGGCATTTGAACCACCTGACACTGGAATCTGCAGGAGCAGAAGGGCTGAAGTTCTCACCTGAGAACTGAGTTAACTGAAACCCAGAGTGTTAAAGGCATTTGACCTTTGTCCCATCCTATCCACCAGACCCTGCAAGCAAAGAAATGTAAAGTCACCAAAGCCAGTTTGGCATTGAGCAAAACAGTCCATACTTTGAAACCAAAAGTAATGTGAGAAGGTTTAAAACTTACAAATGAGTTATTTTTTATATTTTTGAGTGGAGTATGTTACTCTCCATACATCCCAGAGACTACTTCTGGTGTTCACTGAATAGGAGCAACTCTTGGGGAAATATTTAGAGGTTGTTATTATATGTCCTGATACCTCTGAGATAGTAGCATATTTTGTGTGTGTGTGATTTGGCAACAAATGTATCTATAGGACATTTTTCTAGCCACTTCAACTTTGGGAACAAAGACAAAGACCTGAGAGACTCAAAAATTCATTGAGCAGCTAATTGGACATTACAAATCCTATGACTAAATTTTAGAGAGGATTCTGCAAATGCAAGAAATAGCAAAATGTGGTTTACACATTATCCTTAAGATGGCAGGGAAGAATTTAATAAATTTTAAAAGATGGTTAACAGATATACATTTTAATGGCATTAAAAAGTGGAAATCTTCACTTATGTATAAAAATTACTAAGGCAGAAGGATTTTGGATACATTAGCTGTTACAATGATCTATTTAGTGGAACACAAAGGAAGCTAGAATTGAAATTGAAGCGTTGGAAGGAGAGAGATAGCAGTTGATACTGGTCCAGAAGGAGTTTTGTTTTTTTGTTATTTTAAGTGATGTTGCTAAGTAAAAGGATTTTTGAACTACAAGACTTGAGGCTTCTCCCTACCCTTTGAAGCTGTGATTTTTGCCTGTGGCTATGCCATCTTTTACCTGAATTTCATCACTATCCTTCCACTCCATCATTAAGCACATTACTTGGCAGATAGGTAAACTATTTTCAAACAAATGCCACTAAAATGCAAATGAGATTCCTAAACATCACTAACTTTACATGACATTGCATATAATAAAATTTTAGAACTGTAAAATAATAAACCCGAGAGCTATTGTATAAGAGAATTTGGACTGTGTTCAAGTTATCTGAAGCCCAATACTGTTATCCACCTGGGCTGAGCCTGACTTCCCAAGAGCTTTGGCACTGACGTAGGGGGTCTTGAGCTAATTAGTCAATTCTTGCCAGAGGCCAGGGATTAAATCATGTTTCCTGGAAACTGTATAAATCTATAGATCTGTTTCCAAAGGCTTGTACTTCTCAATAGTGTCACCAATTTGCAAAGTGGCAAGGTATTTTTTTTCAGCTTGAGTATAAAGGGAGAAAAAGCATATGGTTGGATTGATCTGGAGTTTGGAGGTGCAGTAAAAGGACAGACAATAAGAAGTTAATAGGTAAGTTGGAAGTGGAAAAAAATATTGAGTGAGGGAGTGAAAGACTGAGGAAGATGGAAGAATGTGCTCAGAGAGAAGGGTATTTGGAAATAAAAATGTGGAAGTGGAACAATGCTGAAATTTGATATGGCTACAGAAGTAGATTAGCAAAAGGCAGTAGAAGTTTTAGTCATTGGATCTAGGGAGACAGAGAATCATAGGTACCTGATAATGACTGTGTTGTCTACTTGGATGTTGTCAATTGGTAAGAGGTATGGGATCTAAGAAGACGGTGATCCAATTTCCAAAGTCTTCAGTGAATGAGGGAAATATTCTAGGAACCAGTAGGTGCCAACCCTGCAGAGGGACAGGGAATGATGGCATTAAGTGCCATGAGGCTTTGTGGAAAGGAGGTTTTGCAGGAGGTTGTAAGGCAGTGAGGAGAAAGGAGAATGGCTGAACTGGTCCATGAGTGGTGGGAGATTGAACAGTCTGCCCTTAGGAAAGGGTAAAGGAGTGAACTTGAAAAGGGCAAGTTTACTTGAGTTGGGAGGTGGTGGGTGTAGAATACATCTGACCTCCAGTTCTCCAGTTTCTTTTTCTTTTTCTTTTTTTAAATTATACTTTAAGTTCTAGGATACATGTGCAGAACATGCAGGTTTATTACACAGGTAGACATGTGCCATGGCAGTTTGCTGCACCCATCAACCCGTCATCTACATTAGGTATTTCTCCTAATGCTATCCCTCCCCTAGTCCCCCACCCCCTGACAGGCCCCTGGTGTATGATATTCCCCTCCCTGTGTCCATGTGTTCTCATTGTTATGAGTGACAACATGTGGTGTTTGATTTTCTGTTCCTGTGTTAGTTTGCTGAGAATGATGGTTTCCAGCTTCATCCATGTCCCTGCAAAGGACATGAACTCATCGTTTTTTATGGCTGCATAGTATTCCATGGTGTATATGTGCCACATTTTCTTTATCCAGCCTATCACTGATGGGCATTTGGGTTGGTTCCAAGTCTTTGCTATTGTAAACAGTGCTGCAATAAACATACGTGTGCATGTGTCTTTATAGTAGAATGATTTATAATCTTTTGTGTATATACCCAGTAATGGGATGGCTGGGTCAAATGGGATTTCTGGTTCTAGATTCTTGAGGAATCTCCCACACTGTCTTCCACAGTGGTTGAACTAATTTACACTCCCACCAACATGTAAAAGCCTTCCTATTTCTCCACATCCTTTCCAGCATCTGTTGTTTCCTGACTTTTTAATAATCGCCATTCTAACTGGCGTGAGATGGTATCTCATTGTGGGTTTGATTTGCATTTCTCTGATGACCAGTGATGATGAGCTTTTTTTCATATATTTGTTGACCACATAAATTCAGTTTCTTTAATCCATAAGCAATGTAGGATCTGTTTTCGAAGTTTCGACTTCTCAACATCATCTACAGCAGAGTAGCCAGTGCTACACCCTGCAAATAAAGAGATCTGGTTACTTGGTTTTAACACCTTGTTTGAAAATCAGCAGCCTGAATCGGCAAGCCTCATCCTTCCCCATCATGTCCCACAGCTGTGAATTCCCCAGTTAATTATATGTTGGGTAATGAGGACTTGCTTTTATCTGTACTAAATTTTAGTTTTAAGCCCTATTAATGGGCTTTCATTTTGGCACTTGTGGGAAAGGGGCAGTGAAGAGGCCTATTAAATTTTCTCTTGGGTTTTTATATCCTTCCTTCCAAAGAGGAATAATAAAAATTTCCTTCCTTACTTCTCTTGTAACATTCTTTTTGTTTTAACCCAGATGCCTTTCCACCATTTCTGTATTCCAAGTATGCCACTTATTAGTTCTTGAGCTTCTCTGTGCCTCAGTTTTCTTGTTTATAAAGTAATGACAATAATGTGATTTACCTCAGAGGGTTGTTTGAGATACAAGTGAGGTATTTGCAAAAGGAATAATAAGAATGGCAATAGTAAAGCCCCATTAAATTGTTTGTTAAATAAAAATACTTTTATAAAAAGTATTGGTTTTAGTTAACACCCATAGCTTTTGGTTAAAAGTATTTGGTCCTTGTTTTGGTTAAAAACAAAGCAACAAAACCTTGCTGGGAACTTGGCCATAGCAGTATAAAGCTATTGTCTAGCGTTGTCCTCTTAAAAATGAAATGCTTCTTCTTGGGGCTCCCCATTGTGGTTCTGCAGACTCGAATATCTCCAGTGAAATCTTGTGAACAAATACATCCTCAGTATCACCCTCATAACTTCCTCTGCCACTATCACCCCAGGCCACTTCTCTCTATGATGTCTCACACTTATTCCAGCCAAAGATTAGGAATTTCAATCAAAGTCTTAGTAGTGGATTAGGAAGCCTTCTGCTTTGGTGTGCTGTACCAAAGCCTCTCAAGGCTGGTAGTTGGGCCATTAAAGGGCCTTCGCTGAACTTAATTGTCAACCCACTTCCTAACCAAACCTCTAACTCAATTAGCACTTATTTGACTGTCTAAATCTTTGGCTTGAAGCACCCTGCCAGTTTGGGTGGGAGCTTTTGGTATGAAAGACACCCTTTTCCTGGGAACTCAGCCTGGACAAACCAATTCATTTCACACTCCTTTCCAGCCGCCTACAAATGGGAAGCAAATCTTCATCCCAGTTTGTGTTCTGGGATTGCAGCCAGCAAGCTGATATATCCCATCAGCCCATCTCTTAAGTTACCTGGTCTTTTCAAATGTATAATGACTTTTGAGTAACACTTTTGCTTTGAATAACCAATTCATTGAGAGACTTCCCTTGCTCTCTGGCAGCACCTTTGAGGGGAGTGACATTTTTTGAAGATGATGTTTGTGTCCCTCTTAAGACCCTTTTATAACTTGAGCGTTGAAGATTGTTGAGCAAACAAGTACAGCCTTGGGTTTTGTACTAACGTTTTATGACTGGTGAATTCAGTGACCTTCTCGTTAGGCTTTGATCTTAATTATTTTAAATATCATAGGGTCTGATTCACAAGGCAGTAACGGCAGGTCATTATTCCTGGCATGATTAGTCTAGGTTAGAAATTAGCTTTGAGGCCCCCCGGCACTATGCTCTAATACTTTCTGAAATGGAACACCTGTGTAATGGCTGCACAATCATTTGGTTAAATCAGTCTCTAATTTAATGAGCTCTGACTTCACATTTTTGTTGTGATTTTTAAGAGTTAAATATGCATGCATAGCTTTACATTTGCCATGTCGTATGATTTTCTTGTATATTGTTGTATGCTCACCTAGTGTACCTTATTGCTACTAATTTGTGTAAGAAACTTTTACATAGATAAGCACCTGTACATTGAAGAATCAGTCTTTAAGATAAACAAAATAGAAATGCATAGTAATCTATCTGTACATCAACTTGCTGGCTAGAATGTAAAGAGCAGCAGAAGAACACACTCATGATTCATCCTCAGAAATCTTGGATGAAGTCACAGTGAATATGAGGCTTTAGCATCTACTCCAGAGGTTCAAAATTTGACATGGCCAACTGACGTTTAGTAGGTTTCTGTTTCATATTTTGATTTCTGAACTGTTTGCATCACCTGGGAGCTTAGAAATGCATAATCTCAGGCTTAACCAGAATCTGCCTTTTAACACTATCCTCAGGTGATTTGTAGGTAAAGTGAAGTTTGAGAAACACTAATTAGCTCATGTTCTTTAAGCTGATATTGAATTCTGCCCCCATTGTTAGTATGAAAGGGCAAAATTCCTAGAAAGATCAAATCAAGCAATACTAAGAAAAGCTAATATAATTTGTATTTCTGACAATATCAGACAATCCTGACTCCAACCGTTTCTCACCAAGGCCACCCTAGCATACTTTTTTTTTTTTTTCTTGAGACGAAGTCTTGCTCTGTCACCCAGGCTGGAGTGCAGCGGCGTGATCTTGGCTCACTGCAACCTCTGCCTCCAGGGTTCAAGCAATTCTCCTGCCTCAGCCTCCCAAGTAGCTGGGACTACAGGCGTACGCCACCACGCCCAGCTAATTTTTTGATTAGTAGAGATGGGGTTTCATGGTGTTGCCCAGGCTGGTCACAAACTCCTGAGCTCAAGCAATCTGCCTGCCTTGGCTTCCCAAAGTGCTGGGATTACAGGTGTGAGCCACTGTGCCCAGCCCTTACCATCCTTTTCTAAGCCCTCGTCAAGTCTTGCCTGAATTATTGCAGAAGCCTGCTAAGTTGTTGTCTTGTTTTTACCTTACTACTCACTACTCATCTCTCTCTCTGCTTAACACCTTTTGTTGGCTCCCCATGTTACTCAAAGTAAAATAAAAAATAATCCATTACACATAGATATGGTCTACCCAAGAATTTAAAGCTAATGAGCACTCTTAGAATTATGTGAATTCTTCCTGGAGTGGGGTGGATATTGGCCATCAACCAGATATCCATTTCCCTAATCATATTTTAATACAGAGTTACTTTTCATTTTCCCAAATCTTTGAAACTACTGGGGTTGATGTTACTGAACTTACCTTGCTAGATAAGGTAAGGGGTTGCTACTGGCTGCTTACTCCTCCTTGCTTAGAATTCTAGGAAATCAGGATTGTGGGAGGGAGGGAAGCATGCTGAAATAGTGTGTTGGAGGTGTGGTGCCTATAATTTGGCTGCTGCTGGAACAACTATTTTGGGTAATCTCCTGTTACGCTGATACAGTTGCACTCGTTGTCCTATCCTCTCGCTACCTTTGTCTCCTTCCTGCTTGCTATATAGTTTTTCTTTCTTCACATTTTCGATCTACTTTCTTTTTCTTCTTTATTTTCTTTCATGCCTTCATGTGTCCTTGAGAACTGAAGCATATTTTGAATTGCTGACTATATTCAAATGTCTTTTATATTCCCTTTTCTGATTTTAAAGAAAATTTGAATTATTATTTATATTTCTTTAAGTATATCCTCTAGCCTAAAAAATGAAGTGTTTTAGCCAGGCATGGTGGCACATGTCTGTGATCCCAGCACTTGTGGAGGATGAGGTGGATGGATCACCTGAGGTCAGGAGTTCAAGACCAGGCTGGCCAACATAGTAAAACCCCATCTCTACTAAAAATACAAAAATTAGCCAGGTGTGGTGGTGCATGCCTGTAATCCCACCTACTTGGAGACTGAGGCAGGAGAATCGCTTGAACCCAGAAGGCAGAGGTTGCAGTGAGCTGAGATTGTGCCAGTGCACTCCAGCCTGGGAGAAAGAGCTAGACAAAAAAAAAAAAAAAAAAAAAAATCAAGTATTTTTCTTTAGCAAGTTAATGGATCTAAAAAGACAAAAACTCCCATCTCGGCCCTGAATATTCAACTGCATTTGAGCAAATACTATGCAATTAGTTCACTCATGGGGATGTTACCGGAAAGGAATCTCGATCCTGAACCCAAGAGAGGGTTCTTGGATCTCACACAAGGGAGAATTTGGAGGGAGTCCATACAGTAAAGTGAAAGCAAGTTTATTAAGAAAGTAAAGGAATAAAGAATGGCTACTCCATAGGCAGAGCAGCAGCATGGGCTGCTGGTTGGCCATTTTTATGGTTATTTCTTTATTATATGCTAAACAAGGGGTGGATTATTCATGAGTTTTCCAGGAAAGGGGTGGTCAATTTCCAGAACTGAGGGTTCCTTCCCTTTTTAGATCATATAGGGTATCTTCCTGACGTTGCCATGGCGTTTGTAAACTGTCATGGTGCTGTGTGAATGTCTTTTAGCATGCTAATGCATTATAATTAGTGTATCATGAGCAGTGAGGATGAACAGAGGTCACGTTCCTTGCCATCTTGGTTTTGGCGGGAATTGGCTGGCTTCTTTATGGCACACTGTTACATCAGCAAGGTCTATGTGACCCGTATCTTGTGCTGACCACCTATCTCACCTTGTGACTAAGAGTGCCTTAACCTCCTGGGAGTGCAGCCCAGTAGGTCTCAGCTTTATTTTACCCAGCTCCTATTCAAGATGGAGTCGCTCTGGTTTAAATGCCTCTGAGAGGGACACCTGTCTGTGACCAGTAAGTAACATTCTGTGAGTCCAAGTTTTTGCTTTGGTTTGAGCAAACTCAATCAAGAATCATTTGAGTACTGAGTAGATTATATATTGTAATGTTATAGATGGCAGCAACAATATCTTCCATCCCACAGTCTAGAATCTTGACACTCCATTATTGCCATTAAGAGGTGAAGTATGTGTCCTCTTTCCTTGAAACTGGATGGGCCCTTATAACTGTATCAATGACTAAAGTAAAATGAAAGCAAACACTGTGTGACTTCTGAGGCTAGCTCATAAGAATGTCATGTGCTTCAGAACATCTGGGATGTTCACCAGGCAGCCCATGGTGAGGCTACGTTGAGGGGAATCATATCCCCCAGCTCACAGCCCCAGCTAAGCTCCCTGCCATCCAGCACAATCTTGAGCCAGGCCTGCATCAGCCATCTCCAAACTGGTACCTCCAGCCCCTAGTTAAACCACATGGAGCAGAGATGAGCAGTCCCTGACAAACCAAAACTACATATTCCTGTGCAAAATATACAATTGTTTTAAGCTACCAAATTTTAGGATGATTAATCACGCAGGAAGAGATCTAATACAAATTTATATAAATTAATATTTTATTTTTGAATTTATCCAAAGAGGTTGAAAACCATTAAAGATCAAATATTGCAAATCACTTATTTTAAAATGGGAGCCACCCACAAGGAATAGACCCTGTCTCACTTTTTTCTGAAGCATTTACATTGCCCCAGGGTCATAATTTAAATGCAAACTCCTTGGAACTCTGTCCAGGATTAGCTTAATTTTCTAACAACCTATCACATGAGTATAAATAATGTGCTATTATTCTCAGACCTATCTCAGGCTCCTAGAAACAATAGTGAAGGCCTTTGAGATGCTTCACATCAGGAATGAAAGTGGCAAGTGTGAATTCCAAGCTCAGTCACCACCATCATCTGGGCAGCGTTAGCTTTCTGAAGGCCAGGCAGTGCCTTAAATAAGACATGATCTAAAAGGTAGTGGATCTGTTTCCTTCCAACTTTTCTTTTAGTTATGGGGGTACACGTAAAGGTTTCTTCCATGGGTAAATTGTGTGTTTCCTGGATTTGATGTACAAATTATTTTGTTACCCAAATAGTGAGCATAGTACCTGATAGGTAATTTTTCAATGTTCGCCTCATCCCACCTTTCATTCTCAAGTAGGCCCCAGTATTTATTGTTCCCTTCTTTGTGTCCATGTGTACTCAGTGTTTAGCTCCCACGTATACATGAGAACATATGGTATTTAGTTTTCTAATTTGCTTAGGTAATGATCTCCAGCTACATCCATGTTGCTGCAAAGGACATGATTTTGTTCTTTTTTATACCTGCATAGCATTCCGTGGTATATGTGTACCACATCATCTTTACCCAATCCACCAGGATAGGCATCTATCTAGGCTGATTCTATGTCTTTGCTATTGTGAATAGTGCTGCATTGAACATACACATAAGGCAGTGAGTCTTCGGTGAGAAATAAGACTGAGACTAACAGGACTTAACAGTTCTCCAGGACTGACCCCCAAAAAACTTGGATGGCAACTAAGTGGAGAGAAGGATTGTACATTAAGAACCATCTCAACGGACCTCAGTAGCCCAGGAATTCAGCCTGTTAGGTGTGTGCCTAGTGTTAGAAACTTAGGGGCAAAAGTGGTGTTCAATGCCAGGCAACTGCTTGCAAAGCTCATCCATGTGGAGGTAATGTCTTACCTGGTATTTATGATCCAGCCTCTCTGAGAGAGACAGGCTAGTCAGCATCAGGCAGCCTGTCTGAGCTGTGGTTCAGAAAAGGACTTCCAACTCAGAGGGGAACTGGATCATCAGCCAGTAAGGAAATTGAAACAGGCTTTCCCAGGGGAGAGAAAGGGGCTAAAATTTGTGCTGTTGTTGTCGGTCTATTTATTGCATATCATTCTGAACATTTCTTAAGTCTAAAAAGGAAACTGGAAAAGAATTATCAGTCTGTAATATAGTCAACTGTTTCTTAAGATGTTTGCCTTGCTTGTGATATTTTTCTTAATGCTTTACAGGTTTCTTTTCTTTTTCTTTTTTTTTTTTTTTTTTTTTTTGAGACAAAGTCTCGCTCTGTCACCCAGGCTGGAGTGCAGCGGCACCATCTTGGCTCACTGCAACCTCCGCCTCCCAGGTTGAAGCAATTCTCCTGCCTCAGCCTCTCGAGTAGCTGGGATTACAGGCACTTGCCACCATGCCCGGCTAATTTTTGCATTTTTGGTAGAGACAGAGTTTCACCATGTTGGCCAGGCTGGTCTCGAACTCCTGACCTCAAGTGATCTGCCTGCCTCGGCCTCCCAAAATGCTGGGATTATAGGTGTGAGCCACCGTGCCTGGCCTGCTCTACTGTTTTTAACACAAGCTCTCAATTACTAATTTATTTGTCCCTTGCAAATTTCAAAGACCCGTTTTTATAATAGATTCTCAACATTAGAGAGGTCATCCCTTGGATAAATGGATTCTTCTGCCAATTTGCAGAAGTGGTGGTGAAGAAGCAGGCAGGAGGCAGATGAGTTGCAAAGAGGATTACGTGGCAATTCTACAGTAGGAAGAGGCTTAGGGAAGTGTCCTGTAAACACGAGAAAAATGCTGAAACATCCTAGAGAACAGTGTGGGGCAGTTTAGTCCTCATGTAGAAGAAAAAAATGGAAAAAAAAATTCATGTATGTGTCTGTTTGATTCCCTATTATATCTCTGGCAATTAGGGCAACACCTGGTATGTAGTAAGCACTCAAAAATATTTAGAGAAGAAATGACCACACACAAACCCTACAGCTTCCCCAGCACATCTCTGGAATAAATCCAGGCTATTGGCCCTGAGTTTTCAGGTCTTGTAACCATCTTCCAAAGTCTCTCTTGCCTCTTTCTTTAAAATTATTAGTGGCTGTAGAAAAGTAAGAAAACTCTTCTTTAGAAATCCTTGTAAATATTAGGGAAAAATACATTTTTTTGACCATCCTCTAATTAATTGATTGGATCTTTCAAATGCATTGGGATAGAGACTATGAATTCTAAGGCATAAAAGTCAATTTCCCCAGCTCCCTGGACTTACCATAAGCCCCTTTTATTTCCTGCTTGAAGTTATATAGGTTAGAATCAAGTACTATAAGTTTGGGATCCTTAGCCTTCTGCTGAGGAGGCTTCTTCCTCTTTTTTTTAAATGTCCAAAGTGTGGAGACCTGCCCACCCCCCTTAAATAAAGAAAAACAGAAGTTAATTCACCAGAGAGATCTATAGACATGGCCAGGTTACAGTTTCCCGGGGGGCAAGGAAACTTGACTCTCTTTTTAATAAGCAGATGCTTGACCTTGGTGACATCCACTTACCACTTTTACTTTCTCATTTGAGGCCTTGAGAGATAGGTTTCCTCTCTTCTCTAACAGACATATTATGAAATTCCAAGCATACACAATTTCTCAGGACAAAGAGCAAGGTATAAAAATGAGCAGAGTATCTTGTGCTTCAGGTTGTTTCTTAGGTTTTAGTATTTCTATATCATCTTCTTGAATGAAATGATCCTAGCCTTATGCTCCGTATTCCAGGAGTAAGAGTGTCTGTTTATCAAGCTATTTTTTTTCCCAGTTCCAGGGTGATTCCAATGTGTAAGCATTGATTTTTGTGCCTTATGCCACCTTCCCTCTGAGGACCTTGGATTTCAGCTGCAGCACATCCAACATGGTTACTCAGGGGGTCCCCACAAGATGGAACCCAGTCGTGTACAGTGTGAATAGATCAACTCATCTTTTAACTGGATTTCCCTCATTTCCCATCTCATTCTCCTGGCATCATTCCTGGAATCACCTTTTAAATGAGCTGCCTGCACCCAAGTCCTTAATCAGGCTTTACTTTTGGGAGAAACCAAACTAAGAAAAACTGTCATATGCAAAAGCACAGACAGTATTGCAACTTTCATATGAACCACATAGGCAATGGTGTGCTGGTTATCCAGGTCTCCCAAAGAAAAACTCCTAATTTGTAGTGTTGGCTGATTTCTGTGGCATAAATACTTCCACCATGGCTATTTTCAGCTGCCAATAGGATATTGCTGAACTCAGAGTGGGAAGAAATGTACACCATCAGCTCTCCAAACTCACGCTGGCTCCAGTGCACCCCTGCTAGAACCCAGGCCAAGACAATTGTCATAACTGACCATCAGGAAATATCAATTAAGAGTGTGGATATTATTAACGTTCTGTTAGATACCCTAACACATTATACTGCATATCGATTTTTTCTTTTCTTTTTTCTTTTTTGAGACGGGTTCTCGTTCTGTCGCCCAGGCTGGAGTACGGTGGCATGACCGTGGCTCACTGCAGTCTCAACCTCCCAGGCCCAAGAGATCCTTCCACCTTAGTCGCCTGCGTAGCAGGGACTACAGGCACACACTACCATGCCTTTGGAAAGATGAGGTCTCACTATGTTGCCTAGGCTGATCTCAAACTCCTAGGCTCCAGCTACCTTCCTGCCTCAGCCTTGCAAATTGTTGGGATTACAGGCATTAGCCACCAAGCCTGGCACTTTATTTCTTTTAAGCATTTAAATAATACATGTTTTATAAAGATACCTATATTCAGAATGTAAATGACTGAGATTTGGGACTGCCTTTATCTAATTATGTTGTATTAAAAAGACAGCCAGTTGTCATCTCTCCACAGGGTAATAGGTGATACACTCTGGGATAATTCGAGGAGAGTTTAGTAAAAGAGCTATTTACAAAGAGGTGGCAGAGTGTAGAAAAAGCGAGATTTGTGACATACCACTGAGTCCCTGTTATTAATCTAGAAGGGAATGAGGAAGGTATAGCCATCAGACCCAAGGACAGAAAGGGATGTATGGAAAAGGCCACCTGGCAGAAGTCGAAAGTTTGCAAAAGACAAAACCAGTCCACAGTAATGTCTCCAGAGGCTACAGGGAGGAATTATTCCAGCAATACTCTTCTCCTTCCTTCCAGTCTCCTACTCAGGCAACCCATTGGCAAAACCCTCCCTGCTCTTACGAAGCTTACTGTCTGGTTCTAGTAGAATCTGCACACTCATTTGGGCCCCAGAAAAATCACTATAATGGCACAAGAACGTGTTTTCACAAAATGTACTAATTGAGGCCATAAGAATTCGGTTACAATAAAGTTAGGTTGCAATATGAAATAGTAACAGCACTTTGGCTGTTAGGAATGATCATGGGAAGTGGAATCAAATGCAATGCTAATCTGCTTACTGGAAAGCTGTGCGTTAACTAATGAAAGTACCATAATCGAAGTTGGAAGAACTGGTTCAACTTGTGAAAGGCGGAAAGTTACAAGGCAAGTGTGCCAGGGAAATTCTGAAGGAAATCCAAGAGAAAGGTGTCTAGACAATATTAAGGAGTGGCTGGACAACACTGTCAGCTGGTGACACATAACTATCTTTAAAGTTAGTGGCTCAAAATGGTTGCCATAGATACCCCTGGAATGAAACAATAGGGTTTCTAGCAATGCTTTTTTTCCAACATATTAAAATGCTTGAAGGAAATCTCCTTATTTTTATTTTTAATTCTTGACTACTGACCTGTTCACGTGGAAAAGCGTAGGTTTTAGAATACGATCCTGGAACTAGTATTCTATCCTGGCCTAGATTTGGACCTCATTTTCCTTTCTGATCTTTGGTCAATAGGTTCCAGAGAAACTATAAAATATGAACTTGGATGTTGATTTCCAGCCTTGGTTTCCATTAGTGAGAATCTGGGAATAGAATAAGGTGAAGGAAAGGTTGCTTTAAGTAAGAACTTTTAGAAAGATGTCAATTAAATGAAATGGTGTCGGTGATTCTTAACTTGCAGTCACTGGATTCCTGGCAGCTGAAATTTCTATCTGAATTTTGGTCAGTGTTGCTTATAGGGCTTATGATAGCCTGCAGCTTGTATGGTGTATGCCAATCTGTTCCCTTCTTTCCACAGACCTGGGACCACAGCTTCGGCATGAAATTTTTTGGGGGTATGCTCAGAATGTGGTTTGTAAGCTCATCTTTATTACAAAGAGGTAGGGAGAGAATGATGTACTGGACACAAAAGCAAGAGAGTTTATCAGGATGCATTTTGCTTATAAATAAGAGATGACCAATTCAAGCTGGCTTAAACAATATGGGGTTGTGTCAGTTTTCACATCTGGAAGGTTTATAAGCTTCAAGCTTGGTTTGTTCAGGGTTCAGGATTCTCTTCTCAGTCTCTCAGTTCAGCCCTGTTTTGTGTGCTTTTGTGTTCATGGCACCAAATCCACACCCTGCATCACTCAGAGAATGAGTCCCCGTTCCAGAATCCTCAGGGAATCCCCAGAAGTCACTCTGGCCATATTGACTTCAGCCACACATTCATGCTTGCATCAATCCTGGTCAGAGCAATAGAGAGACAGTATCTTCTTTACCCCCAGAGTCTGCACTTCCAGGCACTTCCACGGGAAGGGAGGTGTGGAATGAATGCAAGACAGATCTCCCTGGAACCCGCTGCAAAAAATGAGTGTGGGATGGAAAAAGAGAGCACCAAAGGACAGTGTGACAATAAAAAGTCTAATTTTATTCTGCAGCTAGTTCAGGCAATACCAAAAGTGGATCTGAGGTGGTATAATTGAATTAAGTCAAAGTGGTTCTATCAAACAATAAGATGTTTGTGCCATCAGCTATAGACTGTGAGTTCTTGGATGTGGCAGTTTATTTTTCTGAGTCTCAGTTTTTTCAGTTGTAAGATAATAATTACTGTTGTGTAGGGTTTTATTGATGATTAATAAATATAGTGTTTTATAAAGTCCCTACTGTAATATCTGGCAAAAAAAAAAATAGGCACAAAGTGAATGGTAGAATTAATCATCAAAATGACAATTTATTGCTATCATTTTTAGTACATTTTGGGTACTCCCAAAGTGCTAGTTACTATATTTTAGAGTTGTTTTGATAAATATAAAAGATAGTGTCTCTAAACAATGTAGAATAAGTGGGTAGAAAATTAATGTTAGAATTAATAACAATATATTCTATTTAATATTACATAACATGTAGTTAGTATTTATGCATAATAATTTATTGTTAATTTCACATTTTATATAATTCCAAGGTGCTAATTTGAAGAACAATGCTTCCCTAAATATTTAAATTTAATGATGGTAGCTTATAAGGTTTGTCTTCTTACTATGTGGTTCTATATCACAGTCATTGCAAAAGGACAATAAATTAACAGTGCTTTAGTGATGGTTATAATTCACTATTACTACTTGTCAATAGTTATTAATAAAAGGTTAACTCTTCATATGTGTTCATTTGTTTACAGTGCTGTATACTTCCTGCCTTTTGATACTAAACACCTTGTGAATACAATGATCTAACTTTTGGGAAAGCAAAGTACAGATGGCCATAACTGGATTCTGGGGATGGGGTCTACCCCTGGCAATGCCTTGCCTGCTTGTACTTTCAGTTATGTTCTAAAGGGCTTATCTTCAGCAATCTTATTCCTATAAGCTGCTTTTAAAAACTTAGAGATGTCAGGCAGTGGGTCAGATGAGAGCTGTGCAGCATGGCAGTATTTAGAGTATTTCTGTTTTGAATTGTTTTGTACCACTCAAAACTTCAATATATTTCTCACATCATAGCCTTCCACAGTCACATATGCAAATTCATATTCATAATCAAACTTGTGGATTATTCATCTCTGACACTATTATTAATTCCTATGGCATTCTTATTTTTAGTTCCAAGTGTTCTCTTACTTAAAAGCCTTTGTTGTCATCAATTGTTAATTTTAGCATTATAATCCGTGTGATTGTTTCTCTAGTATTTCCTAAGCATTTTTTCTGGGTTCTTGTTCACCTTTCAACCCTTTTAATACATCCCAGAACACTTAAACTTTTGCTTAAGTCTCAAAAGCACATACAATTATTTGACCAAATAAGTACATGATTAGAAATTCATAGGTCTCTTAAAAATATTTTATGTCCTATATTAAATGTCAAATAAGAGATAGAAGTTTGTGATTAGATAATATTAGAAACTTGGACTTACTTTTATAAGTTAAGTAAACTAATGTTCAGATGCATACAATTCTTACTAAATACCCCTACCTGTAACTTTTAAGCATTGCCATTTATCAATTAACAGTTATTTTATTAAGCAATCATTGTATGCCTGGATATTCGTTTGCTGACATCTTCATGTGCAAATCATTCCTTCTAAATCTTAAGAATACACACATAAGTGATATATTCCCCTTATATGTTATAGATGACATGAGGAATGATTTGCATTTAGGATGCATGATCAAGTGCATTAGCTCTTCTTGCAATTTGGTCACCAGTGAAAAGAAATTTGGGGAATTTTGACACTGGGATGTAATAAAATGGGTTATCAAAAGACATGCTTTTTTTTAAAAAAAAAGAAAATATTTTAGAATGAGGTATGCCTTACTTACAAAACGAATGAGGTATGCCCTATTTACAAAACATCAGTTTAATTCCAAGATGAAAGCATTAAAAGATAGGGAGAAAAAAACCACCCTTGTGCTGATGAAATGGTGGCTCCAGAAGGCATAAGGGCTATCTTAAGACAGTAACGTGACCAACTACAAATTATTTACAATCAGAAAAAAGGGAATAACAGAGGAGGCACTACTGGATCAAGGCCTCCAAACTCATTTAGTAGGATTAGGTTTTTTCCTTAAAAAACCTAATTGATTTTTTACAATCCTTAAAAAATAAAGCAAATGGGACAATACATAACCTGGATAAAGATTATATGAGCGTATTTTTATTCTTGCAACTTTTCTATAAGCTTAAACTTATCTTTAAGTAAAAGTTTTAAAATATCCCAAATGATAAAAGAGAAGCTCGATCACAAGTAATCTATTTTAAAACCAGAAGATTTGTCTATGCATTTTATTTCATATCTATTTTCAAGATAGAAGGCATTGCTCTCCTGAGCCACACATGGAAAAGAAAGGGAATTTTACCATGTGGAAATTTTACCTCCCTTGGTAAATTTTATATTTTGGTGGGTTTAGGAATTCATGAGAAATGTGCCCTGGCTGTTGCAGTTTTTGTATATTTATGCCATCTGGATCAAAGACAGCTCAGACTCTCACCTGTATTGGGCAAACACTGCTACATGAAACTCAATCCACTGTAATTCATTCTCTTGAAATCTTTATAAAGAAGTTGCAAGGGAAATGCATGGATAATTACTGTTTATGCTCAAGGACCAAATTTACCCCTTTCATTGGGTTTGAAGGAGATGGTAATGAGCTTCTTTTGTGGCCCTGCCATTCACCAGATGACAAGCTCTTTTAAACTGAAGCCTGGTTTAATTCCTTCTCGCAGAATAGCATTTTAGCAAACTTGACAGCAGGATTTTATTTATTTATTGGTAAAAGTATTATGTACAATTAGTTTAAAAAATCTAACTGTAGAGAAAGCTACAAGATGAGAAATAGCAATACTCCCCGCGCTCCTAACTCCATAGTCACTGTTAAATATTTCTTGTATACTCCTGGGAGTAGTGAGTATACACTTTCACCCATATGCATACTTTAAAAAAATACAAATAATGATTTACACTTTACAGTAACATATTTTTTCCAAATAGTGATACATCTTACTTTCCCCCTCTTAATAATACGTCTAGAACACGTTTCTTCTAGGTTGAACCATATGAAATTACTGTTTTGCTAGTTTGACCTAATATCTCAGGACATGGGTATAGCCCATTCTTTAGACCATGCTGTAGATTTTTCTTGTACAGATACACAGATATCTATCAGTCCCATATTGCTAGACATTTAGTTTGCTTACAATTTTTTCTGTTACATATAATGCTAAAATGATCACTGTTTACATATATCTTGGGGGATACTTTCATGACTATGTGTTAAATTCTTAGTAGAAAAATTTCTAGGTGGAAGAGAACATATATTTTTAACTCTCAATTTTGTCAAATTGACCTCCAAAAATGTTAATGTTTACAGGGGCCCCAGTTATGCAGAACACTGTGGCATCTCAGAAATTTTAATTTTTGACAATCTTTTTGGTGAACATTTTTATTTTTATTTCGTTGTTTTGATTGACATTTTAAAAATGGTTTTGAACATCATCTTATAAGCTTATTTGCTTTTTGCATTTATTTTCCTGCAAAAGTTGTCTTTTTCATATCTTTTAAAGATCATTCTTTTAATTCAGTATCATTAATTTGTGGGCGTGATGTTTAAGTTCAAAAAATTTGCTATTTGTCAAGTATTTTGCAGTAATCAAATGAGTGGAAAGTATGAGGAAAGTTAAGGAGGAAATAGTAATTTTGAGACTATGCTACATTCCACATACAGGCTTTTTTTTTTTTTACAATTTGATTTCATTGATTTTTTTCTTTGTTATTGGACTTATTAATTTTTTGTGGCTTCTGTATTCTGTCTGACTTGGAATGACGTTTCTAATATATCTGGGTTTTCTTGTTTACTTTCAAAGAAGCACATAGATTCCTGCTTTTCTGGAAAATTTCTGATTATAAATGTTTGTAATATTTGTACAATATTATCGGACTATGCTACCAGAATTTGATTTCAAAAATAAGATAGCTACAGTAACTCTAGTTACCACAACATAGCTATGTCATGGTCTACATTAATTAGACATCCTTTAAAACTGTTTGTACTCATTCCTCCACCTTCCTGTTCTGTGCTCTCAAAACAACTTTCCAATCATTCCTTCAGTGTTCAGGAAGGTGATGCTCCAGAGAAGGAATGCAGTTAGAAAGCCCCCTGTAAATGATCAATTTGTGTTCTAGTGCAAAGCACTGTTTTCTGAAAGCTGGGTTTCCCCTCAACATTCCAGACTTGCTCAGATGAGACCTCACTCACTGTGGAAGCCGGAGTTAAAAGTGACTTGGAATTATAGGTTAAGGAAAGAGGTAGATCCTTTTTCTATCTTAAGTTTCCATCTGAAGGATAGTCCTGATACTTGTTCCACGTAAGCCAAAAAAAGAGTCTCCAGGTAACAAGATCTTCCCTGGGACAAGCGAAAGTTAAGGCAACAAAGCATGAGGTTTTGGTTGTTGTTTTTGTGAGTTTTCTGTTTGTTTGCTGGCTTGTTTTTTCCAAGGGTTCATTGGCTCTAGGCAGCCCAGCTTTCATTTAAGGAAAGGTTCGTGGGCGTCTTGTGGCCTCCACTCCACATGCCTCTGCACTATGTCTATGACTTGCAAAAACAACCGTGTGGGATGCTAATTCAGTCTTTGGTTTCTTTTTCATATCAAATACTGCCAACTTGGCCTTAAATATGTGCCAGATGCACGATGGTTTTATGATGTGATACCGTTAGGAAGTCTGGGCTGAGTATAGCTGGATGTGAGCTGGCTTCTGCTACTGGAGCGGTTCCTGCCGCTGATGACTCCAGCACAAGCTTGAGAGCTTGATGGCTTTGCTGGGTACCTTGGCAAATAGTGCCTGGCAGTGGATGGTCATTGAGTCCCTGGTGAGAACTGCAGGTTCTCTTTTCTCTGATGTCCAGATTTCTGAGTCCTATGAGAACTTGCATGGTGCTTTTCTGGGAAAGGAATGAAAAGCCTCACCATCGTGTAGCACACAGTGTCAAAATCTTGTCACAAATATCCCAGGTACTACCTCCTGATATGCATACCTAGGGCACTCTTGCCTTTCCAATTAATATTTTAAGGAAGTTTTCATTGATGATGGGCCCAGAAACTCAAACATATTTAACTTTGAGTTAAAATTAAACACCAAAGGAATGAGAGAGATACCCAGTTGAAAAAATAACTGGAAAGTTTAGGGAGATTATTTGATCTAAAATGACTCCTTTGGAGAGTAAAACCTATGGTCAGAGTTCTCAGTTCTTATGTACAAATTTTACAAGGGACGTAGTCCAAGCACTGTAAGTGCACATTATTTTTATTTGTGTATGTTTTCTCTTTTGTTTTTATTGCCTGCAATCAGGTGAAACAATGGTGGCAGTTCAGTGCTTTATTTCTGACTTTGACCAAACACAATCTCTTTTATGCCAAACTGTGATCAGAGATTTATTACCAAGCAGTGTGAAAAAATTGGACACTTAGAAAACGAATCGATGTTATGATTCAATGAAATTCTTAACATTTTTAAGTCTTGAAAATCCAAGGATAACTTATGTGCAGGTTCTGTTGGTCACTGTGGAGACGTAAATATTTTATTTGTGAAATCTGTTTGCTTACTTTGCAAGTATTCAGGGTGCAGTAGGTTGTGCCAGAATATTTAGTGGTACTGATAATAGTAACTACAGATGGAGAAAATCATAGAGGACGGTGGTGATATGTCTTAGACATCATTTCCATAATATTTACAAAAAGCAGAGCAACGAAAGGGCTTTCTACTTGAATCAAAATGATGTACCAAAGACCAATCTGTTTTCAGGATGTGGCAGGCAGCGACTCCCATTTCCTGTAATAGGGTCAAAACCTCTTGCTAACAGGCTATCTTCTCCCACACCTCCGTGGCTCCAAAAAGATATATAACCTTTGCTGCCCAGAATCTTACTTAGTAAGGGGTATATGAAGGTCATGCACTTGTATACTTGGTGTAAAAATAAAAAATATAATCCATTTCCTTTATTTTCTCCTTCGTATTTATAAACATATCCTAGGGCAGAGCTGTGCAACAGAACTTTCTTCGGTGATGGAAATGATCTAAATTTGGCTAATATGGTAGCCACTGGCAACATGTGGCTATTTGAGTGCTTGAAATGTGGCTAGCGTGAGGAAAGAACTGCATTTTAAATTTTATTTAATTTAAACTGATGCATATGACTAATGGCTGCTGTATCGGACAGTGCAGCCCTTGATTAGAGCTTAATTTTCTCAGTGAGGATTGGCTTGAGAAAAACACCACTAACGAGCCCTTCCTAAATAACAGCACAGGTAAAATAAAATTGAACAGATGTTTAGATTTTCCTGAATTCAGCTTAGGCAAGATTTCATAGGATCATAGTTTCAACTCTAATGGCTCCAGGGAAAATCATTGATTTTATCAAAAACAAACAAAAAAGAAGCTCTGATACCACTTTCTAAAATGTTTAAACAAAAATGCATGATTTGATAAATAAATCTATCACTTGGATCTTTAAGATTTTCTTCTTCTCAAATACATTAATGTTCATCTGTCAGGTTCAGGGTTAATTTGGAGGCCTCTTATCTTTGTCCTAAACTATCTCCTTCAAAATCCTATGTGACAAGATTTTCAGTGGAGATATTTTTTTTTTCTATGTTTTCATGCTTTGCATTCATCTTCTTTTAAATCATTAAGAGGTAGGGAAGAAGGCATGAAATTACTATCATAAATACATGCTGCAGTTGGCTTTGCTTCGCAGATCTGAGGAGAGCAAAGGTTTGGCTTCTGTGTGATCCAAGATGATTGCTATCGTTCCAAACAGTATATCACCCAAAGAAAGCTTTCTATTCCCAAATGAGTGATTTTTATTGTATTTGTCTATTGATTTATTTATTTTTATGTATTTAGGGGGGTAAAAGTACAGGTTTCTCACATGCATATATTGCATAATGGTGAAGTCTAGGCTTTTTGTGTACCCATTACCCGAATAGTGCATTGTACCCAATAGGTAGTTTTTCAAACCTCACCCACCTTCACCCTCCCAGGCTCCATAGTCTCCAGTGTCTATTATTCCACTCTGTATGAGCATGTATATCCACTGTTTGGTTCTCATTTATACATAAGAACATGTGATATTTGACTTTCTGTGTGAGTTATTTCATTGAGGACAATGGCCTTCAGTTCCATGTTGCTGCAAAAGTTGTGATTTCCTTCTTTTTTATTGCTGAATAGTATTCCATGGTGTGTATATATGTATATGCTACATTTTCTTTATCTAGTCCTCCATTGATAGACATTTAGGTTGCTTTCATATGTTTACTTTTGTGGATAGTGCTGTGAAAAACATAGGAGAGCAGGTATCCTTTTTATATAATGATTTACTTCTGTCTGGGTCTATATCCAGTAGTGGGATTGCTGGATTGAATGGTAGTTCTATTTTTAGTTCTTTCAGAAATCTCCACGTTATTTTCTATAAAGGTTGTACTAACTTACATTCCTACCAACGGTGTAAATGTTCCCTTTTCTCTGACTCCTTGCCAACATCTGTTGTTTTTAGGCTTTTTAATAGCCATTCTGACTGGTGTGAGATGGTATCTCATTGTGGTTTTGATTTACATTCCTCTGACTAGCGATGTTGAACAATTTTCATATATTTCTTGGCCACTTGTATGTCTTCTTTTGGAAAACATCTGTTCATGTCATTTTTCCTAGTTTTTAATGGGGTTATTTGTTTTTTTCTTGTTGACTTAAAGTTCTTTGTAGATTCTGGATATTAGCCTTTGTTGGATGCATAATTGCAATTTTTTTCCATTCTGTAGGTTGTCTGTTTCCAAATGAGGGGTTTTAAAACATGTAGACTAGCAGTCACCAAGGTGAAATGTTTTTTAAAAGGATCATAATATAAAAAATGACACCAAGGCATAGAGTTTAAGAGATATCAAGTATGTGTGAGCAAGGGTACATGAAATAAATAGTTTGACTTTCTGGGTACTGGTTTTATTTGCAGAATATGGAGTGTTACTGCACTCAAGGAACAGAACATCAAAATTTATAGGGGTCATTTCAGGCAGGTGTCTTGGGCCTTGCTAAGCTACTATAGCTAATTCGGGGAATCATGGAAAGATTTAGGCAGAGGGTTTGCAAGTCTGATTTGCATTTCAGATAAATCATACTCAAAGCTTGATGGTAATGAACTTGTGAAAGGGATATCCTTCAGGGTAACTTCAGCAGGACTTGGAAATTGACTGGATGTGAGGTACAATGCGAGTAAAGCAGAAGATAAAAAATAGAATTCAGTGTTCTCACTTGGGACTGGGCAGATATTGCTGTCAACAATTACAACTGGAACTGTTGTTGGGGAATAAACAAAACTGAGAGAAAGATAATGAGCTTAATGAACCCTTGGAATATATCCTTGGGAAACTATCCAGAAGACATTGAGATGTTTAAGTTGGGATTAGAGGAGCTATCTAGGCAGAAAGAGAAATTTAAGAATAATCTTCATTCTGGCAAGTCACTGTATATGGGCAGTGATGAGCTAGAATCATCAACTTGTAAAATAAGCCAAAGAAAAAGGAGCTCTTTAAGGAAACAGAGAAGAAATGGGAGGAGAAGAAGGAAAACAAATAGAAGTAAATAATCAAGAAATGAAGTAGTTTCTGGAAGGTCACTGAGGTAAACATACACTATATAGTGGGGACTGAAACTATCCTGTAGACATTGTGTTATATGTGACAAATACCTGCCTTCTATGGATCACTTCTCTTACTCATTTGCTCCTCTCTGTGCTATATTCCTGCATATTCTCCCACACATCCTTCAAAACTCAACATAGAGGCATTCTCCCCTGCAGGCAAGCTTTCCTGCCTCAGTGTCTCACCCAGCCAAGCTACATGAGTTGTTTTTCCATTTGACCCTATTTCTCCAGTGCCATCCTATGTTATTGCAGGGATAGTACCTACATGCCAGCCTCCCTCTCTGTACTGCAAGCTTTTCAGGGTTATTGTGGGGGACTGATTTGCACTAGGGATTACACATTTCATGTGTCCCTGTATTCACTCCTTTAGTAGTGTCCCTTCCACACTTGGACTTGACTATGTGTCTTCTTTTGGCCAATGGAATGATACAAAGTTGATTTCAGCAGAGGCTTGAAAGTGTTTGTGCATTTTGAGTTTCTTAGACTCCTGCTACCACAGGCAGATATGTCTGGGCTAACCTGATGGTGGAAGAGAGATTACTTCAAGCAGAACCAAGTCATCCTCACCAAAGCTATTCTAGACTAGCCAGCCCCTAGCTGACACAAAAGCTGAATTCATGAGCATTACGTTTTGGAGTGGTTTTCTACACAGCAATAATGATACAATTAGGAATCACGCCTTATACATCTTTTTAATTTCTAGCACATTAACCCAGTACTTAACATCCACTGGGTGTTCCATCAATATATGTTGAACTGAAAAGCCTAGAAGAGATAGAATGAAAGTTCCAATCTATTGCAAAGCATTTTTCTTTCCTCTCTTTCTACTAAACATTATGGCTATACCCCAAGGTTCCCACTAACTTTTACCTCTGAGATTTTAGGAGCTAAGACTGCAGGGGTGGTTGTGGGAAATCCAGCATGCGCAGTGTGGTTTGAAATCCACAGACAAGGGGCGATGGCTTCCTTCCTTGGCCCACTGCCCTACGCGCGGTGAGCAGAGCAGCCAAGCCAGAGTGGCAGCCGCAGTGTGGGAGCCCAGCTCTGCTGCCATAAATTACCCAGGGGCAGGAAGGAGCAGTGAGAGTCAGCGGTTTCAGCTACCTAGTAGTTCATTTTTGTTCTTGTTTTTCAGTTAGCAATCTGTAAAATTTATTGCAAAATTAAGCTCCCTGCTCCAGAGTCAATAATATTCCTGGTGCCAGGTGGTGTAATAATTCACCGAAAGGGCAGAAGTTGGAGGGAATAAGACTGATTTAGGAAGTAGACTTCCAAGCCCTATTGCTGCTGCCTATTCCCTGCTGCTAAAGGTCAGGTAAGTAGAGGGCTAAGGTTACAGCCTCCTGATATCCTTGGAGGGCTAGAATTTCTATTGGGTTTGAAATTGAAAACAAAAACTGTTTCTATTGCATGATGGATTCCTTTTATCCTTCCCACCTCTGTTTCCATTTTAGCATAAAAATAGAAACGTTCACTTTCATATTTTGTTTCTGGCTTTGCAAGGAAGAGGTACTGTAGAAAATATGGCCATGTGCAAGCTTCCTGCAGTGCTTTCTAATACCCTAACATCAATGTCTCTGAACTGGAGGGGCTATTGGAGATCTCTCTAATCCAAATTCTTCATTTACAGATGCAAACATCCAGTCTGGGAGTAATTAATGATTGTTCAGTTTCTGTCCAGACACTTACTTGAGGCTAAACACTAAATCTCATTCCCAGGTTATATGCCAACTGCTTCACTGGACATTCTGCCCCTGAAAGGACTTCAATTTTTCTTTGCTCTTTCTTGATTATGTACAGTATCTTTAAAAAATTATCTCTCCCTCTCCTATTATTTCTTAAAGAGTCTTAATTATGGGCCTGATTATCTAAAAGGACTATGAAGCCACATTTTCATTCCAGATGCAAGGGACAAACTGTTACCATCAACTAGCTTGTATTTAATTATCTTTACAAGTTAATTCCCTAATAGACAATTGAAATGCCGTATTTGGCTATTCCCTATGTCTCTTTCTTGAAATGCCTACAGAATCATCTTTGCAACCTGGGATGCAAGTTTGGTATTTCTTGGGACAATTAGCAGTTGGGAATTACACTCTACAAGTTAAATGTGTATGAAATTCAACATCACCATCTGCTCTTTTAGAAAATTTAGATGGAATTTCTTCATTTCACATCCTCAGTTCTTTATTGGTGTTGGAGCCTTAGCCACTAGCTCAGTGCTAGCTATAAAGCTCAGATTAGAAGAAATTGCTTTGATGTTTTCAAAGTCAAGAAAGAATTTTACACCTCTCTGAGTAGCCCTTGACTGCAGGTGAGGAATGTACCTCTGGAGAGGTACCATTAGAGCTAATTGTATATGACCTGATTGATCCATCAGAGCTCTTAGAGTTTCTAATTGAATTTGCTTTTGTCTTCATAAAATGAAGATTTGATTTAGTTGTAAGTTGTGGACTGGAGGAGCTGGCTGCATTCCTTATCTGATCACACGGATACAGTTGATATGATGATCAGAAGTGGGCTGCATAAATCCACCCTTGTCACCCAATTCCTCCCCTGTTACCCGTGTAAATCAAGGATAGCTCCGAGAAGCTCATTCTCCATCTAGGAGGGAATGCCAGTTTCACCTCTTAGAAGCTGAGGCTTTTCTCCAGTTATTAGCATCGGGGTGAGAAGGGGCCTAGAAACCAGAACATTGTGAAACTTTTGTAACCTGACCTGAAACTGGGCAGGAGGAGCTTGGCTTCAGGCTTCACCAAGACCTTGAAACTCAGCCCAAGCTGATTAAAACTTGAGAGTGTGAGTCTTTTCAAGTGCACTAATTGTGTTATGTTGTGGATAGAAACCATGAAAAACCGATGTTTTGAAAGTCTCCATCTTCGGAGAATTTTACTTCTAAGCTAATTAAACATCTGTTTCATCCTGAGATTTGGATCAAAACTCGAATAAAAAGTTGGAAAACAAATTAAATAGTCATAGTTAAGCCGTCAATAAAACAGATACACACACTAGAGACATTTATTCTGATGCAGCAAAATTAAATGCCCAAACGGAACATCATCTTTTCAATTCTCTCTACCAGTATGTTCAAAATATAACTAAATGATTTTTTTAATTCCATAAGATACTGACTGTCTATATCAAGTTGTCTTAACATGGGAATTGTCTGTACTCAAAAAACTTTATTTAATCTAATATCTCCCGTGTATATACACACACTCACACATACACACACAAACACGCACACGCACACACACGTACACAAATATATGTGTGTATATATGGTGAGCACTCTATGATTTCCCATTGGAAGCAAAATTAAATCTAGTTTAAAATGTTATTTAAAATTTTGTGTTCAGCTAGGTGCTGTGGCTCACGCCTGTAATCCCAGCACTTTGGGAGGCCAAGGTGGGTGGATCACTTGAGGAGAGGAGTTCGAGATCAACCTGGGCAACATGGTGAAACCCCATTTCTACTAAAAATGCAAAATAGAAAAAACAGATTTAAAAAATTTTGTATTCTATTGTCCTTATCACTTCACACACACAGATACACTTCATTTGTCTACCCACCATGCATCCTTGTCCTTACACTTGAAAGTGTCAGCCTTTCAGAATCTACTGTATACAATCAAGAGAAGAAAGTCATCGCTTCCTCAACTAGCCCTCAAATCACATAACAACAAATGGTCTGCAATTGATTTTATGTGGAGCAGATGTATAGACAGTATATAATGTTGTGGTGAAAGGTGTATATACTTTGAAACTGGACAGCCTGAGCTCAAATTTCTACTCTCCCACTTATTAGCTGTATGACCTCAGGCAAGTCATTTAAACTGTTTGAGCCCCAGTTGGCTCATCTATAAAGTGGGGTAACAATTCCACCCATCTCAAGGGATGTGGATGAAACGAATCAATCTACACAAAGTTCTTGAAATAGTGCCAGGGTGATATTACACTTACATAAGCAACATGCACGTGTTTCTCCCTTAATACCCTAAATGTCTTAGTAATCACATATTTGTGAATCCAAATGGTTGTTCATGCAGTAGATAATTTTTCGTTAATGCAAGATATACCTAATTAACGTGCTCCAAGTGGAACTTGTTTGGTATCCACGTGCCGCCGTCCCCTTGAAATCAAGGGTATTTTCCTTGTAGTTAAGAGCGCTTCTGCTTGTAAAGCATATGCCACGAAGCCCCTGTATACCAATTTAGAGATTTTAAAGATAGTTTTTGTGTGTGTGTTTGCTTTTGCTTTTGTTCTGGTTTGTATCAACATTTATTCTTCTTATCATCGCAAAGGAGAACGAAGGCTGGCTAACCTGATGGAATGGTTTAGTTAGGAAATGAACGGACATCACCTGGTTTGAGCTGACTCTTGTCTCTGGCATCTGTTCATCTTTCACACACCTCTTAAAATAGTAAAATGTTATTTTTCTAGGGTCATTCTCATTGGGAAAAGCTTTAAAAGATCCACTTGAAAGTTAATTGTACACAGGGTGATAAGGCTTTCCTGGTTCAGGGATTTGTTTCAAATTAAGCTATAAATCAGTAAGTGTGCTGCATTCCCTGGTTCTCTTTATGATCCTGAGGGGGACTGCACCATTCTTTAATTTGAACCTTAAATGAAAGGGAAGGAGAAGGGGAAGTGAAAGGAAAACTAAGCCTTAAGATTTTAAGGAAACCCATCTATCTATCTAGGCTCTATTCTCCAGTCTTTCCCTAAGACAGGTAAACTCTGATGAAGTCACCTCTCTGTTAGGCAATAGACTGGATAAATTCCCGCATTTCCATGTCATGTGACTTTTATTCTTTCCCATAATACAAGGAGGATAGATGATCTCCTAGCCCCTTTTTGCTGTATTAACTTTTAGATTTTGACCAAAACATGTTTTTCTTCTTGTAGGGATCATGGCTACATTGTTGCCTCCATTTTGGAGTTTCTCCTCTGTAAACCCAAATATAATTGTCTCTGTCCTTATTTCAATAACCTTTGGTAATCTCATCAATTTATCAGATGGTAACTCCAAGAATAATTGCAGTATATGCCAAAGGAATTCAAAATAAGAGCAGATTAATCCTTGTTTGCATTCCCTTCTACAGCATGAGCTAGCAACTTCTCATCCGGAAGGTACCAAACCATCAGTAGGTGTGGGAGAGCCAGTTATTACTAATGATGGCTCAGGAAAAGACCACTTACATGCATAAGGAAAGATAAAAATAGAGTGTAAAAAGAAAGTACTTTAAAAGGGTTCATAATGTCTCCCCTCCAACAAATGTCCTTTCTAAAATGTCTTAACCTTTCCCATCTGCCTCTGTTTTGTGGGTCCTCCTTTCTCAGAAGCCAGAGAGAAATTCCCAGTGGCTGCTGATGTGTTATCTTTAGGAATGGAAGGTTATCGTATAACATGCATTTTCACTGCTTGAATCTTAATTTCCTGCAAGCTGCCCCATCTATGAGTCAAAATAATCTAAGTGTGGAAGACGTTTATAGAACGTCCTCTGGCTTATTCCTCATCACTGAGTGGGTCATTGATGGTGTGACTCTAGCATTGAAACCAGGGCATTTTTGAGAGTGAGAGGAAAAGCCACTAATAATTATCTAGAATAGCAGAAACTGGAATGATCCTACACTAATTGGGATGAATTATTAAGGAATAACTGGGCAATAAATAAAAACTTATTCAGTGATTGAGTTTTAAAAAGAAATGAAGAAATCAAAGTAGGAGTTTCTTTTTACTATTATATTTAGAAACTGTGCTGTGTGCTTTGTATCTATTAACTCATTATAATACCTGTATTAAATGGGTGTCATTCCCATTTTATGGATTAGAAAACCAAGGCTCTAGGAAGTACAGTCATTTGCTCAAGGATACAATGTATTATATGTTGGGGAAAGCATTGAATTAGAATGCTTGAATTGAATTAGCATTGAACTAGAAATTCTGTAAATTTCTAATTTACAGAAATTAGAAATTATCAAAGGAACTAACCAAAAATGAATAAATAAATGATTGAGGGAATATGCAAATAAATGATTGAATAAAAAAAATAATGTTTAAAAACCCAGCAAATCTCGGCCGGGCACGGTGGCTCATGCCTGTAATCCCAACACTTTGGGAGGGCCAGGCAGGCGGATCACAAGGTCAGGAGATCGAGACCATCCTGGCTAACATGGTGAAACCATGTCTCTACTAAAAATACAAAAAAAAATTAGCCGGGTGTGGTGGCGGGCGCCTGTAGTCCCAGCTACTCTGGAGGCTGAGGCAGCAGAATGACGTGAACCCAGGAGGTGGAGCCTGGGCGACACAGCGAGACTCCGTCTAAAAAAAAAAGTCCAGCAAATCTTACTCATGAGATGAGGAGAATCCTGTACATATGACCATTTAGGCTTGCAGAAATCTGCCAATTTAAAAATACTCATAGCTAATTTACATTACCTGCTCTTATTTTACTTTTACTACATCATAAAGATGATAGCGAATTCCAGCAAGTAAGAAAGTTAAAGCTCAGGACTATTGTTATGGCAATTTCTCCAAATGGAGGAAAAAAAAAAATATATATATATATATATATACACACACATATATATATATACACACACACACACACACACACACACACACATACCTTCCTAGTTATACATGGAATAGTTTAAAAGAGCTTTTATACTTTTACCTGCTAATTTCACTCATGATAAAGTATTTTAAGGAAATAAAGCTGGGCTTTGGCACCCCTTGCATAGGCCAGTAGTTAGATGCAGGCTGCTCTGGGGAGGGGTTGATGTTTTGGGCTGGAGCCTTTCCTCAGCCAAGGGCAATCCCCAGAAAGAAACCCAGGCTAATGTATGACCTTTAGCAAGTTACTTTATCCTGTTTGGTTCTCTGCTTTCTCATATTAAAATGAGGGTTAATAATTACCATCTTATTTACTATGCATGGTTGTTATGAGAATCAATAAAATGTCACTGTATCTCAAAATACCTCAAAATATAAAACATGAAATACGAGAGATGTTGCTGTCAGTCCTATTGCTCTGAACAAATTAGAAACTCAAGTTGGGCTGTCTCTGAGACCTGATCTTTTAAAAGCAGGTCTTTCAGCAATATAGTCTGCCTTTGAAAAGGTTCATAAAAGTCAACTGTGTTTAGTGTATTTCTTCTCTTTATGTTCTCTTCTATTTCAGAGTTGTTTATTTATTTTTTATTTTTTAGAGAGACAGGGTCTCACTATGTCACCCAGGCTGGAGTGCAGTGGCGAGATCATGGCTCACTGCAGCCTTGACCTCCCAGACTCAAGCGATCCTCCCACCTCAGCCTCCTAAGTAGCTGGGATTATAGGCATGAGCCACAGCACCAGGACTATTTCAGGGTTTTTGAGTTCAGAAAGTTGGTTTCTGCAATCCCCAGATTGCTCTTCACTGTTTCCAGTGACTTTTGAATAGACACTTTGATTTTTCATCTTTAAGAACTCCCTGTTATCTTCAAAATGATACATTTTAATGACCACTAATTCTTGTTTTATGGATGCATTATTCTTAGAGATACAATTAGATTACAGATTCAAGGTGTTTGAGATTTTCTCCCTTTCTTGCACTATGTTTTATGAAGTGATAACTCTTCTACTTTCTCAGGTAGATCCTTTTCTTGTAAGTCTGATTTGCTTAGTTTGTTCTATGAATATATAACAATTTACTTCTCCATTCTACTCTTGGTGAACTTTTAAGATTTTTTTCCAGTTTGGGACTACTACAGTAATGCTGGGATGGCTATTTTTTTTTTTTTTAACATTTATTCTGGTTCATATAAGCTAGCTTGTCTTGGTTATATTTTAAAAAGTGGAATTACGAGGTCATGTGTATGCACATCTTCAACTTTCCTTGATAATGCTCAACTGTTTTCCAAACCAGTTGCACCATATCACGGTCATACCAGTAGTGCAGGTCTTCAATTGTTAGACGTTGTAGCAGATGTTGCCGATGCCCCCTATACCTGGCACTCACCATTTTCATGCATGACCAACTCAAAAGCTTCCAACTACAAACACCTGCAACTGTTTGCCTGAGGGCTTTTCAGCTCACAAGTGGAACAGAAATTAACCTTTTCCCCACCTGGCCCTGGAAGTTGCCCTAAAAAAATTCCTAACTGGCCAGGGTCGGTGGCTCATGCCTGTAATCCCAGCAGTTTGGGAGACAGAGGCGGGTGGATCATGTGGTCAAGAGTTCAAGACCAGCCTGGCCAAGATGGTGAAACCCCATCTCTACTAAAAATACAAAATTAGCCGGGTGTGGTGGTGCATTCCTGTAGTCCCAGCTACTCAGGAGGCTGAGGCAGAAGAATTGCTTGAACCCGGGAGGCAGAGGTTTCAGTGAGCCGAGATGGTGCCACTGCACTCCAGCCTGGGTGACAGAGTGAGATTCCATCTCAAAAAAAAAAAAAATTCCTAACCATAATGATGCATAATTCCAGCTCCCCTTTCCCTTCCCACAAGTGAGAAAGCTCTGAGGTGTATTCACCAACTCCTGGTATTTTTAGGAGATAAAGCTCTACTTGCTCACAGTGATAACTCACTCTGTAGTGATCTTTTATTTGGCTTTCATCTGTTTGTCTCACTCCCCCATTTTCATGTTAGTGTTTCCTGGTATCATTTTCCAAATAAACTATTTGCACTTGAATCCTTCACTGATACTTCTCAATGTGTACAGGTTGAGCCTCCCTCCTGTCATCCCACGCAGCCTTGTGGCCTTACTCTTATGATAACATTCCTCACCCTCCATTGTATTCCAGAGTGTGAGCTCCATGAGGGCAGACACTTGAAGTGACACGTGAGTTTTAATTGTGGCTTCCTTTCTTCGTGGTTCTCTTGATTTTTCCCTCACCTGTGTTCATACCTTGTTTTCAGGCTTATTTCCCTAATAGTGACAGATTTGCATATTAAACTCTGAACATTAAGCCATGAAGAAAGCATAGGTTGTTCTGTCAAATCCTTAAAAAATATTACAGACCCCGAGACTGTAACTGTAGCAGCGCTTCCCAAACTTCTGGCTACTGTCTACGCCAGGCAGGGGGAAGGGAACCATCACCAGGAAGACAAGTACCACATTCGTAGTTATAGAAATATCCACATTCTCTCAAGTCAGAAACACACAATGGACAAGACCATGCTCCCTCTTTCTGAAACAAATATCCAGCAGGTGGTTTGCACTTGAAAACTTTTATTAAAATGTTGCTGGGGTGAGAATATATCATTATTTGTCCTGGAAAACTCCTCATCTTTGATTTTGGCCATTCAGTTCCTTCTTTGGGAAGTCTCATCTCTTCATGGGACCTTTCCTGATTTCATCAAATCATATAATGAAATAAAACATATATTGCCCTCATTTTCAGTATTCCTTACTTTTACATTTAGGATCTTTACTATATCATTCTTTGTAATGTTATTAGATCAACAAGACATGATCTCTCGCAATGTTTTCAGCTCTAAAGCTTTACATGACTATTTTGTGTGTGAGTTATCCTTATGTTTTCTATTGAAGTCCATAGCACATTGAAAGTTAGTCTGATAGATACTTGCCCTCATTCCAGGCACCTCCTGTGTTATGCCTATAGCATATGCTAAATTAAATTCATTAAATCAAAGAAATAAAATATTTCACTGGAATAGAAAAATTTGCTCTAAAACAATCACTACCTAGATAGGACTTTGAGATCTACTGTCTCATCTCCATCCAAATTATATGCTCAGCCTTATCTCTTCCCGCTAATTATACCCCCTCTTGACCTGTAAATGATGGGAATGACTCACTGACCTTTGCTGAACTGGTTTTAAGTTTCTCTCCTGTTTGAAAATCTAATGCATTGAGTGTTTTCCTGCTATAAGTTCCTAGAGGGCTGTGCCAAGGTCTCTCCTTTGAGTTACAATGTACCTAGCATAATATTAAGCCCAATTTGGTTCATAAGAATTGGTTTGTGATTATATGGTTATTTTTTATGTATATGGTGTGATTATATAGTGTGACTCTGAACAAAGTCACATAAAGTGGAAGTACATAATATAAAGGAATGCACCCTCAAAAAACCCCCTGCATTAACGCAAACCTCGTGTAAAAGAACAGAAATACAGAGGGTGCTAACATAGGATAATGAAAATGTACCTCAATAGTTTGAAAGCATAAACAAATTCTTCCTCTTTTAAATATCTGATATATGTACACACGTATACTATCACTGGACAAAAACAAAAATTATATTCAGAGATGAATTTTTTTATGCTTAGAAAAAGTTAGCTGACTTTTAAACCTCATTCTTGAGAATCTTCCATTTCAAATTGGAAAGATTTATGTGTTTTTATTAAAGTTTTTAAATACTTCAGAATAATAAATAGCATTTTTTGAGATTGATTTAATCTTTCTCATTTTTACTCCCATAGCAACAAGACTGTTGAGTTGCACTAGTCATCACTTTTCTCCCCTTGCCCAGCAGACCTCTCCTAAATTACTCTGAGTGGATTTTAGAAAGATTGGCTATCATATAAAGTGTGTTGCCTGTCTCTTCTTCCATTTCCCCTAAAGGCAAAATGCAGTGAAAACAAAATGGAATTAAAACACATAAAGGAACTTAACTAGAACGAAGTAAAAACTTCTTGTATTTGTCAGAACACTGAGATAGGTGAGAAGCTCCAATGCTTTAAGCATTTCTTTTCTGTTGTTGTTGTTTTTTTTTTTTTTTTTTTGACAGAGTCTGGCTCTGTCGCCCAGGCTGGAGTGCAGTGGCACAATCTCAGCTCACTGCAAGCTCCACCTCCCGGATTCATGCCATTCTCCTGTCTCAGCCTCCTGAGTAGCTGGGACTACAGGCGCCCGCCACCGCGCCCAGCTAATTTTTTGTATTTTTAGTAGAGATGAGGCTTCACTGTGTTAGCTAGGATGGTCTCGATCACCTGACCTCGTGATCCGCCCACCTCGGCCTCCCAAAGTGCTGGGATTACAGGTGTGAGCCACTGCACCCGGCCTGCTTTAAGCAGTTCAAAAGAGATGTTAGCATTCTGAATTTAAAAGTGTTGAATTCTCTTAAAATCTGAAGTACTCACAATTTTTAACATGGTAATCCAAACCAGAGGAAACAGAATCTAGATAATTCTCAACTCTGCTACTACCTCTGAATTTTAAGTGGAATATTATCAGTGATGCATTTTTTACTGTAGTTTCTATCAATATAATTTTCACAATCGGCTGGGCGCAGTGGCTTACACCTGTAATACCAGCACTTTGGGAGGCTGAGGCGGGCGGATCACGGGGTCAGGGGATCAAAACCATCCTGGCTAACACGGTGAAACCCCGTCTCTACTAAAAATACAAAAAAAAATTAGCCGGGCATGGTGGCGGGCGCCTGTAGTCCCAGTTACTTGGGAGGCAGAGGCAAGAGAATGGTGTGAACCTGGGAGGCAGAGCTTGCAGTGAGCCAAGATCTCGCCACTGCACTCCAGCCTGGTCAACAGAGCGAGACTCCATCTCAAAAAAAAATAAATAAAAATAAATAAAATTTCACAATCAACTAAATTCTATAAAAATTCCATTGAGAGGCCGGGCGTGGTGGCTCACGCCTGTAATCCCAGCACTTTGGGAGGCCGAGGCGGGTGGATCATGAGGTCAGGAGATCGAGACCATCCTGGCTAACAAGGTGAAACCCCGTCTCTACTAAAAATACAAAAAATTAGCTGGGCGCGGTGGCGGGCACCTGTAGTCCCAGCTACTCGGGAGGCTGAGGCAGGAGAATGGCGTGAACCCGGGAAGCGGAGCTTGCAGTGAGCCGAGATTGCGCCACTGCAGTCTGCAGTCCGGCCTGGGCGACAGAGCGAGACTCCGTCTCAAAAAAAAAAAAAAAAAAAAAATTCCATTGAGAGCTAACTAGATTGATAACCTAGTAAAACACAGAGCATACATCCAAGTGAAACTGATAGGCTATACAGTTGCACAGACAGTAGTTAACACTCTGAACATGGAAAGTTGATGTTTAACATCAAGGAATGAAGTAAGTGATAATAAAAATGCTGTCTTGCAGATTTGCTCTTCTGTGACTCAACTAAAAAATATTGAACTAAACTTAATTCCTTATTCTCTCTGCAATGGTATTCATTAGACACAGCTCAGGGCATAGTTCACCTACAATGTTGCAGTTAATTTCACTTTATTCCCAAGCCATGAAATAAATTCCCAAACTCGGTCTGCTACCTTGCAAATGTTAATTTGGAACAATGCACCGTGCTGATCCATCACCGTTATTTTTTTAAAAAAACTTAAAGTCTGTGATATGGATAACTAGGATTCGTATAGATTTAACTGTTTAAGTAATATCTTTATGTTATTCTCAGATTATCAGTCAGCTGATTCACTGGGGTGGTAGCAAGGTCTTTGAATGTGAGAACACAGAACACCTTTGCATTAAGAATGCATCTTAGGCCAGGCGCGGTGGCTCACGCCTGTAATCCCAGCACTTTGGGAGGCCGAGGCGGGCGGATCACAAGGTCAGGAGATCGAGACCATCCTGGCTAACACGGTGAAACCCCGTCTCTCCTAAAAATACAAAAAGAAAAAAAAAATAGCCGGGCGTGGCGGTGGGTGTGTGTAGTCCCAGCTGCTGGGGAGACTGAGGCAGGAGAATGGCGTGAACCTGGGAGGCGGAGCTTGCAGTGAGCCGAGATCCCGCCACTGTACTCGAGCCTGGGCGACCGAGCGAGATTCCGTCTCACACAAAAAAAAGAAAAAAAAATGCATCTTATCAACTAGAGAGGTTGATTTCTCAATTTAATGAATTGTATTGGGAGATAATTAGCAAAGTCTTGAGAGAGGAAGGGAAGTCTATTACCAGTCAAGCAGTGTTAATAATGAACAGCATTTATCCAGTATTTTCTTGTTCTAAATACTGTGCTTTGTATGGATTAGTCCTCACAGGCCCGTGGCAGAGGAATATTAGATGCTTCATTTTGTTGTGGAGGAAACTAGGTCATAGATGGTCCAAAGCTAGAGAGGTGGTATGTGGCAGAAATAGAATTCGGACCCAGGCTGTCTGACCCCAAAGCCTTTTTCTTATGTACTGATGAACCATGGAGCGTTTTCCAGTAAGGGCTGCTTTATTTCCAAGTAGGGGAATATACATCAACCTACATAAGGGCAGAAAGTCAGGCTGGGTTTTATTGAAAACTGAAATAGGAAGCTGGAAAGCCACTAGGAGCCAAAATCTCTTTCTTTGTTATCTGCTATCTCTCTCCAGCTCTTTCTTCTTTCTTGCTTTCCTTCAGTTGGTTTTCTATGCTTTCAAATTTCTACATTGTCCAACATGAGTTAACAAAAGTCTGTGTATGTCTTTATTAAGATTTTCAAGAGATATAACCCTGGTTGATTCAGCTCATCACTCATATGCTGCTGGATAAAAAATGACTTGTCTGGTTAAGATGTTCAGTCTTGGTCCCCAAATGGGAGAGGGTAAGAGGCACATAGACTAGAGCTACAGCTGCCATGGACCAGGCTAAGGATGGAGATTCTGCAGACATAGTGCCATCTCCTTCTCCTCAGGCCACTGGCCTATGCAGGCCTCCATACTTCAGTCAGCTCCTGGATGCCTTCCTTCTCTGCAGCTTAAGGGCCACCTTCATAAACTGATTGAGGTCCAGAGCCAAGGAAGAAGCTACCTAACCCTTCAGGTCACTTCTCTGTGTATGATGAGGGCTTAGTAAAAATTAATGCTTCCAAGAACTACAGTCATTTTTATTTCATCTTAGCAAGAGAGATCTCATGCCTCTATTTGGTTCTTTAATGGGTGAGGGATTTGGGCCTAGAAAATGAGGGGAAATTGAGAAGAATACTCTTAAACCTCCCAGCAAGAGAAGAAATGTCTTGCTGGGATCATACCTATTCCAAAAGATGGAAGTATTGCAGCGAGTTCTCTTCCTCTCTTACTCCATCTCCTGTTCTTCACTGAGGGAAGTGGGACCATATTGACTTTCCTGCTGAGGCAATACCCCCTAGGATATAAGCAGAACCCTCAGGAGGAACTCAAACTTTTTCCCCTTTGTCTTTGGCCTTCTTTAGAGTAGCCTTTTTTATGTAACAAGATTTCCCTGCAATTTAGACCACCATTGCCTTAAGGAGTGAGGCTAAAAGCTGCTGTTTACTTTTCTAGGCATCAGGGTGAAATAATTCCTGTGTAGTTTAGATTTCCCCAAGCACTACATTATTGTGTTATACTACTGAAAATTAGCCTCTATATCTTTATTATGGTATACGACCTTGCTGGCAGAAAAAACACTGGTGACATTATAGATCCTTAATTATATAGATCCTTAATTAATCCTTATAGATTCTTTATTCATAGTTGAATGAAATGAAAATGGAACTATTTTGCCATCTCTGGTTAGATCTCTTAAATTGGCTTTGGAATTTGTTGGCTTGGCCTCTGAAGAACAAAGAGTTGGGAACGTTTGACCTTGCCTGCGATTAACTTTCTCAGTGCATGGAATTTAGAGCCAGACTGGGCTTCTTTCTGCAGTCCCTTTAGTCAGTTCACAGGCCAGTGGAAGCACTAGTTTTTCAAGGAAAAGCCAACTCTTGACATAGCAAGATCAGAGCTAGAATCCTAGGAAGCATGCTTGGCTGTACA
The DNA here is from genome assembly GCF_000001405.40 of Homo sapiens. NCBI lineage: Eukaryota > Metazoa > Chordata > Mammalia > Primates > Hominidae > Homo > Homo sapiens. The sequence continues at coordinate 6,882,707 of NC_000020.11, forward strand.
CGATCCCTCTAATTTCAAAGCAAAGCAATGTAAGGAGACAGCTTGGTAGTTGTTTTATTTTCTCTAGAGTGGACTTATGTTGTCAGTGGCAGAAATCCATGAACCATGAAGATAAAATAATGCTAACCAGAGTGCTAAGTAAAGAAAACAAAGATGGCTCCACAATTAGTAGCATTATATATGTTAGTGCTAAGTAACAACAGATGTGTCTGCAGGGAGAGAAGCATTCCTTGCAATCCATCAGAAACCAAAGTTCTCTGACACCACAAGCCATTATGATTATCTTAGGCTTGGGGGATGATGGCTGAGTCCACTGGGTTGGCAAAGTAGGGATGCTGTTGAGGGTGTTCCAACCTACCTATGTCATCCTTCCCATGTTGCACACTTGTGCTGAGTTAACAGGGCGATGTGCTCTGTAAAATCCGGTTCTGTAAAGACATGCACTAGCCATGAGTCATTAGCAAGCATGCGAAGCTAATTGGCAAAATACTCATAAAATATTTTGAAGGTGGGTTAATTACAATTCATTACACAGTAAACTGTCCCCAGGCTATTGTTAAAAAGTACAGGAGTTTCAGGGCCCATTATTTTATGATTCATTTTGCCATGTTGTGAAAAACAGACTCTAAATCAAACTACATTTATTATAGGTCAGACCACAAAATCTTTATTGGTTTTTCCAACATTCCACCCTTGTTATATGAATTCATATGGACTGCACATTTCTGTCAATTGGCAAGAAAGCATGAAATAAAATTTATGATATTTTCTTACCTTATCCTCAGTGTAGCCTTAAAAATCACAAGATCTAATTGCTTCCCCTACTTCCCCAAGTTCATGCAAGAAATAAGTATTTCAAAATCAACTCCAAAGTTCTAATGATTGAAAGCAACTAAAGCATAATGAAATCTGTCTTCTAAAGTAAGCATCTTAAAGAAAAACTCAAAGCAACATCCACTTGAAATGTGTTGAAGCTTTTTTCCCGCTCTACCCAGTAAAATATCTAGAATATACTTTACATTTGGAGGATAATTTGAAGTTCATTGGCTCCATAACACAAATCTTGTTCTCCTCATCTCTACCTTTGAAAGCATCTTTCTTTTTTTTTTTTTTTTGAACCAAAGCAAGCCCTCAGCATTTATTTCTTGAAAAAACAAAACAAAACAAAAACCCTCTGGTACAGTTGTGTGCCTCCTGTTATTACCATAGGCAGATTTGGTCAGAATCATGTAAGGCCTCATAAGTAGTCATTCTGTACCATTACATGTAATTGTTTGTTGATTAATGCTTTCAATTATGTTGATTTTCACTATGTGACCCAAACCACCTTGACATAGCCAGCCTGGTATACTCATTACCGGGGATGAGCAAGGAACAAAATGCTAGGTTCACTTCCAGCCTCCAAGAGTTCAGCAGCTCATTTGAACCTTATCTGAACTATCAAAAGTTTTGACTCTGCAGAAACCTGTGTTTGGGGAAGGGGCAGGAATGTGTGGCTCAAGAAAGGCTTTAGGATGAAGTGGGGGTTGTGGGGGGAGATGTTGGAAATTGTGCAAAAACTAGTTTCCTTGTGAGTGATCAGGTACTTCCTGATTCTGGCTGGGCCAGAAATACCACAAAAGCCTTTCTTGAAATTTCTGAGATCTTTGGAAGGTCTTCCTCCAAGCAGTTTGCCAGTTCTGCATGCCTGGGTTTTGGCTAGGGCTGGAGACCAAAGTATGTGCAAGAGGAAACCGTTTAATAGAAAGTTACCTGTATACTTAAGAATTGTCAAAAGAGTTTTACCTCTACTAGAATAAAGCCTGAATGG